>NC_000010.11:84991580-85143095 GCF_000001405.40 Homo sapiens | reverse complement strand
TAGAGTCACCACCTGTAGGCTCATTGGTCCTTTTCCAGCACATGGAAGGTGTGATGTATGCAGTAATTAACTCTTCACTGAACAGCATGCTGGAAAGCCATACCTCTAATGATTCAAACATTCAAAGCCAATGAACTGAAGGCAGATGCAACTCTCAGAAGCAGCCAGAACTTGAAAACTGAGAGCTTAGTCCAGTACCGGATGAGTTTGATGCCACAACTGAAGTTAGAGTAAATTTTGAAGAGGAGTTTAAGTTGATAAAACCAATGGTGGTCATATCAACATTATTATTATTATTTTATGTGACTTACAAAGTATGTCTAAGTTTAAAGCTAGATTTTGACAGTGGCACTTTAAACTCATTGCTCATGTGATTATAATGTAAACTAACACTTGAGAATTCCTGTACGAAGCCGTAAATTGTTAATGCATATGAATCCATGGAAAGGTAGTGTGTCCAGAATTGGTGGGTTCTTGGTCTCACTGACTTCAAGAATAAAGCCGCGGACCCTCGCGGTGAGTGTTACAGCTCTTAAGGTGGCGTGTCTGGAGTTTGTCACTTCTGATGTTCAGATGTGTTCGGAGTTTCTTCCTTCTGGTGGGTTCGTGGTCTCGCTGGCTCAGGAGTGAAGCTACAGACCTTCACAGTGAGTGTTACAGCTCTTAAGGTGGCGCCTCTGGAGTTGTTCGTTCCTCATGGTGGGCTGGTGGTCTCGCTGGCTCAGGAGTGAAGTTGCAGACCTTTGCGGTGAGTGTTACAGCTCATAAAAGCAGCGTGGACCCGAAGAGTGAGCAGTAGCAACGTTTACTGCAGAGGGAAAGATCAAAGCTTCCACGGTGTGGAATGGGACCCCAGCGGGTTGCCACTGCTGGCTCGGGCAGCCTGCTTTTATTCTCTTATCTGGCCCCACCCACATCCTGCTGATTGGTAGAGCCCAGTGGCCTGTTTTGACAGGGTGCTGATTGGTGCGTTTACAATCCCTGAGCTAGATACAAAGGTTCTCCACATCCCCATCAGATTAGTTAGATACAGAGTATGGACACACAGGTTCTCCAAGGCCCCACCAGAGCAGCTAGATACAGAGAGTCCATTGGTGCACTCACAAACCCTGAGCTAGACACAGGGTGCTGATTGGCGTGTTTACAGACCTTGAGCTAGATACAGAGTGCCGATTGGTGTATTTACAATCCCTGAGCTAGACATAAAGACTCTCCACGTCCCCACCAGACTCAGGATCCCAGCTGGCTTCACCCAGTGGATCCCGCACAAGGGCTGCAGGTGGAGCTATCTGCCAGCCCTGCGCCATGCGCTCGCACTCCTCAGCTCTTGGGCGGTTGATGGGACTGGGCGCCATGGAGCAGGGGGCAGCACTCGTCGGGGAGGCTCCGGCCGCACCGGAGCCCACGGAGCGGGTGGGAGGCTCAGGCATGGCGGGCTGCAGGTCCCGAGCCCTGCTCCGTGGGAAGGCAGCTAAGGCCCAGCGAGAAATCGAGCGCAGCGCCGGTGGGCCGGCACTGCTGGGGGACCCAGTACACCCTCCGCAGCTGCTGGCCCGGGTGCTAAGCCCCTCACTGCCCGGGGCCAGCAGGGCCGGCCGGCTGCTCCGAGTGCGGGGCCCACCAAGCCCATGCCCACCTGGAACTCCAGCTGGCCCGCAAGCGCTGCACGCAGCCCCAGTTCCCTCTCGCGCCTCTCCCTCCACATCTCCCTGCAAGCTGAGGGAGCCGGCTCTGGCCTTGGCCAGCCCAGAAAGGGGCTCCCATAGTGCAGCGGTGGGCTGAAGGGCTCCTCAAGTGCCGCCAAAGTGGGAGCCCAGGCAGAAGAGGCAGCGAGAGTGAGCGAGGGCTGTGAGGACTGCCAGCACGCTGTCACCTCTCAGTAGTATGGAGGTTGATGCAAAAATATAAAAGAAAGTATCTTGTTCTAATGTTAAATAGGAAATGGGAAGATACAGCTCTTTTTTTTTTTTTTTTTTTTGAGTCGGAGTCTCGCTCTGTTGCCCAGGCTGGAGTGCAGTGGTGCTATCTGGGCTCACTGCAAGCTCCGCCTCCCAGGTTCACACCATTCTCCTGCCTCAGCCTCCCGAGTAGCTGGGACTACAGGCGCCCACCACCATGCCCGGCTAATTTTTTTTGTATTTTTAGTAGAGACGGGGTTTCACCACGTTAGCCAGAGGGAAAAAACTTACATATATCATCTGACAAAAGCAACATCAATTTCAGGTCCTCTCTTTGTGCCATAGCCTTGCCCAGATACCTCAGTCACAGGAAGGCAGCATGTTCCACTGCAGGTCCTGGTCTTAATTGGGCTAGTAAACTTCTGCAAATCAAGCACTACACCTCTGAAGCAGTATTGGGTCCATGATGGTGCTGGCATGAGAAAAGAATATATTCAGAGAAAGCAAAAGACAGAGTGCACGGTACTGTCTGTCCTTTGTGGACACATTTTTACCACCTCGTGTCAAGTTGGTCTCATAGACTCTCTGCTTAGAAATCTCAGTGCTGGCAAAACAGTAGTCATTAAGAACACAGGTTTGGATCTCTTGGTCTAAAACAGAAGAATCTCTATTTCTGTAAAGTATAAATGAGATATATATATATATTTTTTGAGACTGAGCTTCACTCTTGTTGCCCAGGCTGGAGTGCAATGGCATGGTCTCAGCTCACTGCAACCTCCACCTCCTGGATTCTCCTGCCTCAGCCTCCCAAGTAGCTGGGACTACAGGTGCCCGGACTGTGCCCAGATAATTTTTGTGGTTTTAGTAGACACGGGGTTTCACCATGTTGGCCAGGCTTGTCTCGAACTCCTGACCTCAGGTGATCCACCCACCTTAGCCTCCCAAAGTGCTGGGATTATAGCCACCACACCTGGCCTAAATGAGACACTTTCATTTATATTTTTGCATCAATCCAGCTGCAGAGGATTGGTCTAAAAGAAAGACTTCACCTTCCAAATGCTAAGTACTTAACTATATGTAATTATATGTGTGTATGTGTACAATATATATTTATATATTTTCTGATATATTTTGTAATATATTTTATATATATATCAGACTTACCCTTCCAAAAAGGTATGAAGCAGTGTTTCAATCTTAGAAATTCATTGAGAATTAATGCCCTCTCTATTCTTCTGGCCAACATACTGAAGACACCATAATATCAAGGGACACATGTAATAAAGAATAAATAACCCATTTCAAATTTTCAGGTTATATACCAAGACTTGCCTCATTATTTTTTTTCTTTTTTAACTTTTCCCATTAGGTTCACAAAAAATGTCACTGCGATTGAATGTGAGCTTTCACTTTTAACACTCACAAGTGATGTCAAAATTCCTGAGATATATGGGTAAGTCTCTCTTGGATCCTGGAAATGGAAATCAAGGGCCTTCCTGTGTTGCAGAGACACCACCTACACCTAATATTTCTTTTCAATATTTATTCCTTGGGAGTCAATTGCATGCAATTACAATAGTCTATTTATCACATTTCCTGGTCTTCCATGCCCCTCTGTTACCCTCTCTCTCCAGTTGTACTTCTCCCTAAAAATTGAACGCCCACACCTTGGCTGTAATTGGAGATGACGTAGTCCCAGAATTACCATCATGTGTCCTAATGAAGTGCCTTGATGCCTCTTATTCCTCTCCCCACACACTCTATCATCACCTGTGTTCGTTTATAAGCATATCTACATATTTTCAACAACCCAGGTGAGGTTTGGAGACATTCCTCTGTGTGATGAAATATTCAGAGAAACAGTGACTTATCCTGTGGACAGGCACAGGGTGAGTGCCACTTGGAAGAACACCACGTTCTTTGTGGGTGAACTACTGTGCCAAGGAGCCAGGGACACAGCTGAGGGTCACTCACCAGGGCCAGTAAAAGGCAGCATCAAAGGAGCGATCTGAATGTGCAAAAGAATCGATAATCATTCTTCAAAATGAGGCCTTTTCAAACATGGCAAATGTCACTGGCTCTTAGCAACACTACTTGGGATTTATTCTCTCAAAAACGGCACCACCACAGGGCTGGAATAAAAAGCCCTGGTATGCTATTCTTCAAAATGGCAAAATGACAGGAAAGCAGCATGAGAATTCAGACCTAGATGTAAATTAAATGTGCATAATTCCTCAAGACGTTTTGAGTTATCTCTTCCTAAAGGCTGCGCTGCCAGAGGTCAGCGTGGGTCAGTGAGGGGGCACCTGGGGTGAGGGAAGGGTGTGTCAGCAAAAGCTAAGTGTTCTCCCTCACTCTCACATCCAGTTTCAGATGAATCTCAAAAAGTGGTTGCTTATTTCTTATTTAATCAACTACTTCTGTCTTATATTCTGGAACTCAGTTTTTTTTTTAAGCCAGAAAATCAATTCCTTTCCCTGACTCCTCCCTGTCTCTTCTCCTTGTTTGAGCATGTTAATCTCTCTCTGATTACTCCACTGTCTCCTTCATTTGACTCCAAATCAAGCCACCTGGTCTACTGTGATGGCCTAGCCTCTAATTCCCTGACTCTGGATTCTCCTTGCTGCCCTGCCCTTGTCATGTTTACACCAGAATAATGCATCTAACGCTCATATCTGATTGCACCGTGCCTCCACTTTAAGCAACTCTGATGATTTTGGGGAATTCTCTACAAAACAGACTTCAAACATCTTGTATTGCATTCTACGTTCTTCCCAGTGTAGCTCCAATCTGTTTTTTCAGCCCAATCTCCTGTATCAACCCCCAAATCCCTATCATGTTATTAAAGCTACCCCTACAAATATAACATGCTTAAATTTAGATTGTGCCTCTTCGCAGCCACCCACCTGGGAGCAACTTGTACTCATTCTTCAAATGCCAGTGTCTATAATGTAATACTTCAAAGCAATAGAAAGAGTGACGGGTGCGCACTGCACAGGGATGGATCTCACAGACAAATGTTGAGCCGAAGAAGCCACTTATAAGAGAGAACATATCATATGAGTTCATTTACATGAAATTCAACAGCAGGCAAAAATAATCCATAGTGATGAAATAGTAGTTACCTCCTGGAGGTAAGAAGGAGCACAAGAAGCCCTCTTGGGAGATGAAAATGCCACATCCAATATCTTGAACTGGGAGATAATTACATGGGTATACACATATGCAAAAATTTATTGAGCTGTACAATGAAGAAATGTCAGCATTATTGTATGTACGTTGTACCTCGCTTAAAAAAGAAAACAAATACCAACAAATTAGTTACCTCTTTGGAGACGTATTTTTACACCCCAACCTCTCCCCAGAAAATAACTCCCCTCTCCTTTGGGTCCCCACTGCCTATTGTAGGTTTCATAATTACAACAAATAGTCCTCATCTGTGCCTTTCTTGCTGTTAGCCTGTGACATCTTTAGTATTTTTCTTTTCATCTCAGCTTTTAACACAGTATTTGGTCAAATGCTGCTGAATGAACTGTGATAAGAAATCGCAGATAGAACTGAGTTGTCCCCCTGCGAGTATGGGGTCATTTCTGCTATAAACATCTCCTAGCATGCCTGTGTATCTCTGAACAGGAAGAATTCTAAGCTAAAGTCCTCTATGCTCAGCAGATTGCACTGTCTTCCCATTAACAAGCTGAGTGAAGGCAGAATAATTCCCACTACATGATGATGGGCGGAGCACGCTGTGCTGGGCCAAGAGAGCGCACAGTGAGTCTTGTCAGCTGCACAAACATGAAACTGGTTAGTTGTTTAAAGAAGGCAAAATTAATTTGTAGCTGTCAGTCAGTTGAGTAAGATTTGCTTCACTTCTGGAATTTATTGACAGGCCCTAATAACCAGCACTTGTCTTTTCTGGAAGCAAACAGCAAAAGCTGAGAACTGGAAATATGATGTTCACCTCTGGTTCCCAAGCAAAAGAGAAAGAGGCTATTGTGGTCATACAGTTTTTATATGATTTTCAAATTTTAATAGACGATTTTGCTATTGGAAGTTTCCCAAATGAGCTTGCTGTTTTTTCTTTATTACTGCAGGGTTAATATAGTCTGAGTGTTTTGGCAAGGTTTATGGCACAGAGTGTGGGGGAAAAAAAGAACTGTGATTGCCTATAATAAAGAGGGTGTTGAAGACTCAGATTCAACAATGATTTTATTGACAGACTTCTGTTTATGGACACTTGATATATTTTAATTCATTTAAACCTCACGACAATGTTTTGAAGAAGGAATTTATGAGGCCTAATTTATAGATGAGAAAATGAGACTAGAAAGGTCAAATAATTTCCCAGTATCGTATAGTAAGTGCTAAAGGCAAAATTTAGATTCATACATCTTACACTAAATCTCGTGATCTTTCTTTAAGTATCTGGTTATGTAATATTGTTATACATTGTTATATTAGGTAATAATGTTATAGATTCAGTTTTCAGGAAGGAACAAGGTCTTCCTTAGATTCTCTTATAACTTATCACATCTGTTTCTCTATACTTCAGAGAAGTGAGCACCCAGGCTGAGATACTCCTAGCATACCATTCAACTCAAGGCAATATTTAAGAATAGCTAATGAGAAACAGACCTTTATATATCTATGTATTGTTTTTACACAATGGGAGCCCTAAGGAGAGAAGAGCACAGTCCTGGCCCTCAAGAAGCCCCCAGTCCATGATGAAAGACCTTGGCTATTCCACCAAAGGTTTAAAGAAAAACAGGGATGGTCTTAGTGTGACGATCTCTGCATTCATTACTTTCAGTAGAGCAAGAAGCAGTGGCTTCCTATGAAGTCACCTTGTGTACATGTTTAACACTAGCTGTTACTCTCATGGGTCATGAGTCCTTCAGGATCGCCAATGCTCTGCAAGATCTTAGATCCCCAGGAGTCAGCCATATTTCTCTCCTGGGCTTCCTGCTCAAAGTTAGGAGACCACTTCGATGTGGAAGGAAATGAAGGAACAGAGAATGCTTGGATGTCAGGGACTCACATGAAATAGCCCATAAAATAATCCCCCTCTCCTTTGGAGGAAGGGAGCAGGATTTGGTTTTCTTTTGAGGAATTGAGTATACCTTCTGTGTGCAGTAAGAATTAAATGGGGAGAAGTCAGCTATAGAATAAATCTATTCCATTCCACCAAGATTGATTTAGGACACAATGGGTGCCAGGGTTGTGAGTTCCAGTCTTTAAGGAGTTTAAATCTTTTGAGAAAAGCAGATGTAAATAAATGTCATTCAGTATGGAAACTGCCAAAATAAAGATACGGACAGTATGTTATGGGAGCACAGAGAAGGTCACATAAAAACCTGCCTGGAGAAGCTAAGAAGAGCCAGGCAAGGAAAGTGGAAGAGAATCCCAAGATGACAGACCAGCCTGTCACACTGCACGGAGGCACTGAAGAATGTATCATGCATCCAGAACGACAGGAGCTTTGACACTGCTGGACTACAGGTTTGTGTCGGTAGTGGCTTTAAATTGTTTTTCTGTTTGATGGCTTCTTCTTTGGTTATTTTCATTTGATTGTTTCTTAATTTTTTTAATATATGAAAAGGTAAATGTTCTTATTTTAAAATAAAGGAATAGATCTTATATTAAGATTCTCCAAAGAAACAAAAACAAAAGGATGTGTGTGTGTATAATCATATATATATGATTATATTATATATACATATGATTATATGTATATGTGATTATACACACACATAAGCTAATTACTTAAAATCTCTCTCTTATATAAGTAATTAGCTATAAAGTATGTTATTAGCTCATATATGTGTGTATAATCATATATGCATATAATCATATGTATATATAAAATATCTCTCATATGAGAGTAATTAGCTCACATGTATGTATATATGCGAGAGCACTTTTAATTTGCTCCCAGGAATGCTGAGGCTTAGTAAGTCCAAAATCTGCAGAGTAGGCCAGCAGGTTTGAGACCAAAGGAAGAGTTATAATTCAAGTACAAAAGCAGTCTGCTGGCAGAATTCCTTCTGCTTAGTGGAGACCAGAGCTTGATCTAAGAAAGGCCTATCAGTTGATTAGATAAGACCCACCTGCATTATAGAGGATACTCTTTACTCAAAGTCCACCAATTTAAATGTTAACCTTATCTAAAAAGCACCTTCATAGAAACATGCAGAATAAGTTTGACCAATTATCTGGGCACTGTGGCCCAGCCAAGGTGATACATAAAATTAACCATGATAAGTTCATAAAGACACATATTTAAATTCCAAGGATTTTGTCTTTTTAATCTTTTGGGTAAAACAGAACCTTAAAAGGTTTTAATCAAATAATGATAAAAGCTATTATTTAGAAAATAGGTAGAGTCGCATTGTAGATAATGCCTAAACTTTTAATTAAACAGATATTAGAAGTATTAACTGAGACAAATATGGAAAGAAAAATAGGATTTGGCCATGTCCAGTTTGAAAAGGCAGTGTGACAGCTAGATATACATATGCGCTAGGCAGTGTAAATACAGGTGTGGTCACATGCATGTGTGTGCAGCCCAGGAAAAAGATAGAAATTTTAGAATTATTTTATATATATAATAATATATATTATTATAATCATATGTATATATAATATATAATAATTCTCCTGAAAGCATGTACAGGAGATACAGCCTAAGAAGACAGTTGAGGATGGTACTCTGGGGAGCACATTTTATATAGTGAGAGAGAGCAGGGGCGGGGAAAGCAAGACTTATAAAAACACCAAAAATAAATGATGAATAAACAAAGAGGCTCTCCTAGGATGTGGAAGGAAGAATGGACATTGACTTAAAGGAAGAATAATAAAGTGTGAACAAAACAAAGGTGCAAGGTCTTCTCAGATATCCTAAATACTTGTGAGTATGAAAATACCTCACCTAGAAGGCTGGGGGAAGCAGAGGGGGTGATCAGGGGAAATCATGGGTGGAAATGTGATAACTTTGAATGTAAAGAAAACTGCTACCACATCGAAGATGACTGCAAAGACTGGAAGGAGGAGATAACACATAATGGACAGAACAGCAGAGGTGATGTGAAGAAGTAGACCCACTGTCAGACAAATCATCTAAAAACAAGATGGTGGAGGAAGTAAAAGGTGGAATATTTTAAAGGATTAGGAGAGTTTTCTACAGCAGAGAAACAGGCAGTATGTATTCTCCATACCTGCTTTCCTTCCAGGTAAAAGTTCATCACTAACAAAATACTCCTGGCCTCTCTCTGTCCCTTCACTTGCTTCTCCCCCATTGTGTGTAAAGCAATTTACCTTATTAGCAAAGGTGAAAGAATAAATGCAGTGTGTTTGGCCCAGAGACTCCCTCCTCCTCTCAGGAGTACATTGTGTGCTCTCCACCCATCTCTGCAACATGCCAACCTCACAGGAAAGGTCCAGCCCCAATTCAGGAGACTTTCAGGGTCTCAGCATTGATAACTCCTGAGTGGGTCTGTCTATCTAATTCTGGGGACCAGTATGAAGGCCATGATCTGCAAAGATATGTCTCTCTCTCTCCAGTCTCATTATGATAAAAGAGCTTTTATGATATCCATTTTGCTAATTTTTTGTCTTAATGTTCAATAAAAATAGTTGTGCATGGAGAATTGCTATTATTGGGCTTGGGACTCCCCAAAAGATTAAAACAAAGGCAGTATGTGCATGCTTTGCCATCCACATCTTGACTGAGCCACCTGAAGGCAGGGATAGATGCAGAAGGAAAGATGGAATGGATGCAGAAATTGAAAACAATAAACTTAACTATTTTTTTGAGACTGTTTTCCCAACTGTAAAATGCCTACCTTACAAGATGGGTGCAAGAATTAAATGAGATCCTTTATATAACATTCATAGAACCGTGATTACATATAGGTGCTAAGAAAGATAAATTCCCTTCTTCTTCCTAGAATACCTACCATCTATTAAATATTAAAACACTCAAGTGCACACTCCATTGGTTTGTAATTGTTTCATAAATGTCATGTTATATCCTGTGGAGATCTATTGGTCTTTAAGGGCAGGGACTTTGGAGTCCTGTGGAATCCTATATAAAATAGGGATATCTTTTGTACCCCATTCACCCTCCCTTGGACACCACATATCTGCTTCTCTAAAAGCAGTTAACCCCAGTGGCAGGGTTAATAACACAGAGATTCTACACAGAGATGACAATGGACCTTCAAAGTGAGGTCCAAGCAAAGGTGAAAGAAAGACTCCTGTGAAGTCGAGTCCTCCAAAACTTAAACAGCCCTGATCAGGCAGTGCTTGGATTGGTTATGAGGCACTCAGTGAGAAAAATGAAAGACAGAGAGGCCCTCAGAACGGAAGAGAGAGAGCTGCGTAGTCTTTGCATGGTGGAGGTTTTGCTAAGTGGTAATTGTATGTGCATGGTTTGAGGAGTTATGGAGGGGACAAGAAACCCTGGCCGATTATTATTTGCTGCCTGGAAGGCTGAAGTAGCTCTGATTATGAAGCACACATATTATCTGTATACTTAGAGTTCCAAAATTATTTTTAAGTTGCAAGGTGGGAAGGCCCTGAATAGTTACCAAAAAAAGAAAAAAGAAAAATTGAATTCCAAGCAATTCTCAGTTGAAATGTACATCTATATATAATACATGCATACAGATATATGCTCTTAAAAGTGTAAAAGTGTATATATACTTACCAAGACTGGAGAAATCCCACTGACCCCTTTCTCCTCTTAAATGGCCCACCTCAATTCCACCTCCATGAGGAGCTCACAGCTCTGCCCCTCCCGCCTCCAAGTGGGAATTCCTTCTGGACTGTCTAGTCTTTTTGAGGGGCCTTCGGTTTTTGCCGCTGTTAAAGTTCACAACCTGAGTCCCTCCTTTTAAAAAAAATTGACTGGTAAAATTACATGCATTTATTGTGTGTAATACGGTGTTTTGAAGTATATATACATTATGAAATGGTTACATCTACCTAGTTAGCAAGCACATTAACTCACATAATTATCATTTTTGTGGTGAGAACACATCCACTCTCTCTGCACTTTTCAAAAATGCAATATATCCTCATCAACTATAGTCACCATGCTGTACAATAGAGTTCTTGTGTCTAACTTGTGTCTAACTTACTGCTTGTGTCTAACTGTAATTATTTATCTGTTGACCAACATTTCTCCATGTTCCCCTCCCCTAGCCACCTCAGCCTCTGGTAACCATCATTCCTCTCTCTCCTATGAGATTGAGTCTCACACTGCAGTCACACAAACCACCTGTCAAATCTAGCCTTTCACAGTGTTCCTTTGCATTTCTTTTTTTTTTTTTTATACTTTAAGTTTTAGGGTACATGTGCACAATGGGCAGGTTAGTTACATATGTATACATGTGCCATGCTGGTGTGCTGCACCCATTAACTCATCATTTAGCATTAGGTATATCTCCTAATGCTATCCCTCCCCACTCCCCCCACCCCACAACAGTCCCCAGTGTGATGTTCCCCTTCCTGTGTCCATGTGTTCTCATTGTTCAATTCCCACCTATGAGTGAGAACATGCAGTGTTTGGTTTTTTGTCCTTGCGATAGTTTACTGAGAAAGATGATTTCCAGTTTCATCCATGTCCCTACAAAGGACATGAACTCATCATTTTTTATGGCTGCATAGTATTCCATGGTGTATATGTGCCACATTTTCTTAATCCAGTCTATCATTGTTGGACATTTGGGTTGGTTCCAAGTCTTTGCTATTGTGAATAGTGCCGCAATAAACATACATGTGCATGTGTCTTTGTAGCAGCATGATTTATAGTCCTTTGGGTATATACCCAGTAATGGGATGGCTGGGTCAAATGGTATTTCTAGTTCTAGATCCCTGAGGGATCACCACACTGACTTCCACAATGGTTGAACTAGTTTACAGTGCCACCAACAGTGTAAAAGTGTTCCTATTTCTCCACATCCTCTCCAGCACCTGTTGTTTCCTGACTTTTTAATGATTGCCATTCTAACTGGTGTGAGATGGTATCTCATTGTGGTTTTGATTTGCATTTCTCTGATGGCCAGTGATGGTGAGCATTTTTTCATGTGGTTTTTGGCTGCATAAATGTCTTCTTTTGAGAAGTGTCTGTTCATCTCCTTCGCCCACTTTTTGATGGGGTTGTTTGTTTTTTTCTTGTAAATTTGTTTGAGTTCATTGTAGATTCTGGATATTAGCCCTTTGTCAGATGAGTAGGTTGCGAAAATTTTCTCCCATTTTGTAGGTTGCCTGTTCACTCTGATGGTAGTTTCTTTTGCTGTGCAGAAGCTCTTTAGTTTAATTAGATCCCATCTGTCAATTTTGGCTTTTGATGCCATTGCTTTTGGTGTTTTAGACATGAAGTCCTTGCCCATGCCTATGTCCCGAATGGTAATGCCTAGGTTTTCTTCTAGCGTTTTTATGGTTTTAGGTCTAACGTTTAAGTCTTTAATCCATCTTGAATTAATTTTTGTATAAGGTGTAAGGAAGGGATCCAATTTTAGCTTTCTACATATGGCTAGCCAGTTTTCCCAGCACCATTTATTAAATAGGGAATCCTTTCCCCATTGCTTGTTTTTCTCAGGTTTGTCAAAGATCAGATAGTTGTAGATATGTGGCATTATTTCTGAGGGCTCTGCTCTGTTCCATTGATCTATATCTCTGTTTTGGTACCAGTACCATGCTGTTTTGGTTACTGTAGCCTTGTAGTATAGTTTGAAGTCAGGTAGTGTGATGCCTCCAGCTTTGTTCTTTTAGCTTAGGATTGACTTGGTGATGCGGGCTCTTTTTTGGTTCCATATGAACTTTAAAGTAGTTTTTTCCAATTCTTTGAAGAAAGTCATTGGTAGCTTGATGGGGATGGCATTGAATCTATAAATTACCTTCATGATATTGATTCTTCCTACCCATGAGCATGGAATGTGCTTCCATTTGTTTGTATCCTCTTTTATTTCATTGAGCAGTGGTTTGTAGTTCTCCTTGAAGAGATCCTTCACATCCCTTGTAAGTTGGATTCCTAGGTATTTTATTCTCTTTGAAGCAATTGTGAATGGGAGTTCACTCATGATTTGGCTCTCTGTTTGTCTGTTATTGGTGTATAAGAATGCTTGTGATTTTTGTACATTGATTTTGTATCCTGAGACTTTGCTGAAGTTGCTTATCAGCTTAAGGAGATTTTGGGCTGAGACAATGGGGTTTTCTAGATATACTATCATGTCATCTGCAGACAGGGACAATTTGACTTCCTCTTTTCCTAATTGAATACCATTTATTTCCTTCTCTTGCTGAATTGCCCTGGCCAGAACTTCCAACACTATGTTGAAAAGGAGTGGTGAGACAGGCCATCCCTGTCTTGTGCCAGTTTTCAAAGGGAATGCTTCCAGTTTTTGCCCATTCAGTATGATATTGGCTGTGGGTTTGTCATAGATAGCTCTTATTATTTTGAGATACGTCCCATCAATTCCTAATTTATTGAGAGTTTTTAGCATGAAGTGTTGTTGAATTTTGTCAAAGGCCTTTTCTGCATCTATTGAGATAATCATGTGGTTTTTGTCTTTGGTTCTGTTTATATGCTGGATTACATTTATTGATTTGCGTATATTGAACCAGCCTTGCATCCCAGGGATGAACCTACTTGATCGTGGTGGATAAGCTTTTTGATGTGCTGCTGGATTCGGTTTGCCAGTATTTTATTGAGGATTTTTGCATCAATGTTCATCAAGGATATTGGTCTAAAATTCTCTTTTTTGGTTGTGTCTCTGCCCGGCTTTGGTATCAGGATGATGCTGACCTCATAAAATGAGTTAGGGAGGATTCCCTCTTTTTCTATTGATTGGAATAGTTTCAGAAGGAATGGTACCAGTTCCTCCTTGTACCTCTGGTAGAGTTCGGCTGTGAATCCATCTGGTCCTGGACTCTTTTTGGTTGGTAAGCTATTGATTATTGCCACAATTTCAGATCCTGTTATTGGTCTATTCAGAGATTCAACTTCTTCCTGGTTTAGTCTTGGGAGGGTGTATGTGTCCAGGAATTTATCCATTTCTTCTAGATTTTCTAGTTTATTTGCATAGAGGTGTTTGTAGTATTCTCTGATGGTCGTTTTTATTTCTGTAGGATTGGTGGTGATATCCCCTTTATCAATTTTTATTGTGTCTATTTGATTCTTCTCTCTTTTCTTCTTTATTAGTCTTGCTAGCGGTCTATCAATTTTGTTGATAGACCTTTCTAAAAAACCAGCTCCTGGATTCATTAATTTTTTGAAGGGTTTTTTGTGTCTCTATTTCCTTCAGTTCTGCTCTGATTTTAGTTATTTCTTGCCTTCTGCTAGCTTTTGAATGTGTTTGCACTTGCTTTTCTAGTTCTTTTAACTGTGATGTTAGGGTGTCAATTTTGGATCGTTCCTGCTTTCTCTTGTGGGCATTTAGTGCTATAAATTTCCCTCTACACACTGCTTTGAATGTGTCCCAGAGATTCTGGTATGTTGTGTCTTTATTCTCGTTGGTTTCAAAGAACATCTTTATTTCTGCCTTCCTTTCATTATGTACCCAGTAGTCATTCAGGAGCAGGTTGTTCAGTTTCCATGTAGTTGAGTGGTTTTGAGTGAGTTTCTTGATCCTCAGTTCTAGTTTGATTGCACTGTGGTCTGAGAGACAGTTTGTTATAATTTCTGTTCTTTTACATTTGCTGAGGAGAGCTTTACTTCCAACTATGTGGTCAATTTTGGAATAGGTGTGGTGTGGTGCTGAAAAAAATGTATATTCTGTTGATTTGGGGTGGAGAGTTCTGTAGATGTCTATTAGGTCTGCTTGGTGCAGAGCTGAGTTCAATTCCTGGATATCCTTGTTGACTTTCTGCCTCGTTGATCTGTCTAATATTGACAGTGGGGTGTTAAAGTCTCCCATTATTATTGTGTGGGAGTCTAAGTCTCTTTGTAGGTCACTCAGGACTTGCTTTATGAATCTGGGTGCTCCTGTATTGGGTGCACATATGTTTAGGATAGTTAGCTCTTCTTGTTGAATTGTTCCCTTTACCATTATGTAATGGCCTTCTTTGTCTCTTTTGATCTTTGTTGGTTTAAAGTCTGTTTTATCACAGACTAGGATTGCAACCCCTGCCCTTTTTTTGTTTTCCATTTGCTTGGTAGATCTTCCTCCATCCTTTTATTTTGAGCCTATGTGTGTCTCTGCATGTGAGATGGGTTTCCTGAATACAGCATACTGATGGGTCTTGACTCTTTATCCAATTTGCCAGTCTGTGTCTTTTAATTGGAGCATTTAGTCCATTTACATTTAAAGTTAATATTTTTATGTGTGAATTTGATCCTGTCATTATGATGTTAGCTGGTTATTTTGCTTGTTAGTTGATGCAGTTACTTCCTAGCCTCGATGGTCTTTACAATTTGGCATGATTTTTCAGTGGCTGGTACCAGTTTTTCCTTTCCATGTTTAGTGCTTCCTTCAGGAGCTCTTTCAGGGCAGGCCTGGTGGTGACAAAATCTCTTAGCATTTGCTTGTCTGTAAAGTATTTTATTTCTCCTTCACTTATGAAGCTTAGTTTGGCTGGATATGAAATTCTGGGTTGAAATTTCTTTTCTTTAAGAATGTTGAATATTGGGCCCCACTCTCGTCTGGCTTTTAGAGTTTCTGCCGAGAGATTCGCTGTTAGTCTGATGGGCTTCCCTTTGTTGGTAACCCGACCTTTCTCTCTGGCTGCCCTTAATATTTTTTCCTTCATTTCAACTTTGGTGAATCTGAAAATTATGTGTCTTGGAGTTGCTCTTCTCAAGGAGTATCTTTGTGGCGTTCTCTGTATTTCCTCAATCTGAATGTTGGCCTGCCTTGCTAGATTGGGGATGTTCTCCTGGATAATATCCTGCAGAGTGTTTTCCAACTTGGTTCCATTCTCCCCATCACTTTCAGGTACACCAATCAGACGTAGATTTGGTCTTTTCACATAGTCCTATATTTCTTGGAGGCTTTGTTCGTTTCTTTTTTTCTTTTTTCTCTAAACTTCCCTTCTCTCTTCATTTCATTCATTTCATCTTCCATCACTGATACCCTTTCTTCCAGTTGATCACACCGGCTCCTGAGGCTTCTGCATTCTTCACGTAGTTCTTGAGCCTTGGTTTTCAGCTCCATCCGCTCCTTTAAGCACTTTTCTGTATTAGTTATTCTAGTTATACATTCGTCTAAATTTTTTTCAAAGTTTTTAACTTCTTTGCCTTTGGTTTGAATTTCCTCCTGTAGCTCTGAGTGGTTTGATCATCTGAAGCCTTCTTCTCTCAACTCGTCAATGTCATTCTCCATCCAGCTTTGTTCCGTTGCTTGTGAGGAACTGCATTCCTTTGGAGGAGGAGAGGCGTTCTGCTTTTTAGAGTTTCCAGTTTTTCTGCTCTGTTTTTTCCCCATCTTTGTGGTTTTATCTACTTTTGGTCTTTGATGATGGTGATGTACAGATAGGTTTTTGGTGTGGATGTCCTTTCTGTTTGTTAGTTTTCCTTCTAACAGACAGGACCCTCAGCTGCAGGTCTGTTGGAGTTTGCTGGAGGTCCACTCCAGACCCTGTTTGCCTGGGTACCAGCAGTAGTGGCTGCAGAACAGTGGATTTTCGTGAACCGCGAATGCTGCTGTCTGATCATTCCTCTGCAAGTTTTGTCTCAGAGGAGTACTCGGCCGTGTGAGGTGTCAGTCTGCCCCTACTGGGGGGTGCCTCCCAGTTAGGCTGCTCGGGGGTCAGGGGTCAGGGACCCACTTGAGGAGGCAGTCTGCCCGTTCTCAGATCTCCAGCTGCGTGCTGGGAGAACCACTGCTCTCTTCAAAGCTGTCAGACAGGGACATTTAAGTCTGCAGAGGTTACTGCTGTCTTTTTGTTTGTCTGTGCCCTGCCCCCAGAGGTGGAGCCTACAGAGGCAGGCAGGCCTCCTTGAGCTGTGGTGGGCTCCACCCAGTTCGAGCTTCCGGGCTGCTTTATTTACCTAAGCAAGCCTGGGCATTGGCGGGCACCCCTCCCCCAGCCTCGCTGCCGCCTTGCAGTTTGATCTCAGACTGCTGTGCTAGCAATCAGCGAGACTCCGTGGGTGTAGGACCCTCCGAGCCAGGTGCAGGATATAATCTCCTGGTGCGCCGTTTTTCAGGGCGATCGGAAAAGCGCAGTATTAGGGTGGGAGTGACCCGATTTTCCAGGTGCCGTCTGTCACCCCTTTCTTTGACCAGGAAAGGGAACTCCCTGAGTCCTTGAGCTTCCCGAGTGAGGCAATGCCTCACCCTGCTTCCGCTCATGCACAGTGCGCTGCACCCACTGTCCTGCACCCACTGTCTGGCACTCCCTAGTGAGATGAACCCGGTATCTCAGATGGAATTGCAGAAATCACCCGTCTTCTGCGTCGCTCACGCTGGGAGCTGTAGACAGGAGCTGTTCCTATTCAGCCATCTTGGCTGCCAGCCGTTCCTTTGCATTTCTACTGCCATCACCTTAACATGTGTAGACTACTTACCCAATCTTTCTACAGCTCTTTTTGCAGTTTTCTCTGCCTGCGTGTCACTATGCAAAACTTTGTCAAGTGATTTCTGAAGTATAGTTCTTTAATCACACAACGCAGTATGACTCCATTTTCTAGTTAAGCAAATTGAAGTATAGAAAAGGGAGAGACCTTCGTCAAGGTCACATGACTTGTAAATTTCAGAGATGGGTCTCTCTGGCTCCAAAGCCACATTCTGGTCACATTTGGTCTCTGGTCCAAAGCCGCATTCTTTTCACCATATCATGCTCTCAGGCATCAGGAAAGTCTCCATACGTTCCTGGAAGGTGGTTGACTTCCTGCCTTTCTCAGCAGCCTGTGTCCCAGTTGCTTCCACATTGCTGACAAGCAAGCCCTTTACTGAGATCCCTGCTGTAAGCTGCATTGAAGCCAAGCATCAGGTCAGGATACTGTTTACTGGGCAGTGGAGTTGGGAGGGAAAAGCACCAGTGCCTATGACTTCTGCATTTTAATATTCACTTAACTTTGTAGAGAGTAATTATATTCCACTCATTCTACACCAGCTGGTATTTACTTCATCCTCCATCAGGCATCAACAGAGCATGGGACTGCAAGACAGAAATATTACTCTGGTGAGCATAAATATTTCATTTTTCACACCACAAATGCGTTGATGATTTATTAATTAGCCTAAAGGCTGCTGCCTCTGCAGAGCTGAAAATGAAGCCTTTCTGCTCTAAGAATTGAGCCTGTCTGGGACACAGTGCCCATGGGTGATGCTCAACTGGGAACAGAGCCCAACTTTGTCAAACAGCCTCATGATTGCCCAGTCCAAACTTCTCAGGCCCAGTGTTCACTCTTGACTGCCTGCAGAAGCCCTACAGATAAATTTTCCAGCCGCAAAAAAAAATCTTGTTTATGCCTTTCCAGAAAATGTAGCTGGGACCACAGCCAACTAGTCTACCTATCAGCCAGCTGCTGAGAGGAGCCTGCCAGTCAGCTGAAGGGTCAGTGCCTGCCTTTGACTTTGACTCAGCTGCTGAGGCTACATGACTCATCCGAGAGTAAGATACTCAGGAGACCCAATGGAGCCTCCTCCTTGAGCTTCAGCTGTAAATATCAGGTCAGTGGCAGTATCCATGGCACTCTCTTTTATAATTGTCCAGCTCTGTCTAGGAAAGGAATAATTATCCCAGGGACAAAAACGCTCATGTAACAAAGCTCACGTCCACCTGAGACCTACACAACCACCTTAAGCAACCCCTTGAGCTCTCTGAAGGGACCCTCATCTGGGTTCTGAACATGCTGTAATTGTTAAAAGGAAGACTAAGAATGGAGGCCAAAATATCGTTTGTTTTTGAAGAAGCTTAATTAGAGGACATGATTTGTTCTCAAGTCCAAGTGTTCTGCCAACTCCCCACATCTATCTAGGGCAGTGGTTCTTAAGGGCAGGAGGTGATCTTGGACATGGGGGACATTTGGTCACATCTGGAGACAGTTTTTATCATCATGCTATGGGCATCTAGTGGGTACAGGCCAGAGATGCTGCTAAACATCTTACAATGCACAGGAGAGCTTCCCTCACCCCATGTCCAACGAAGAATCATCTGACCCAAATGTTGATAGTGCCAAGCCTGAAAAACCATGGTGTACACTTGTGGGCAGCACATCTGTTGTAATGTAAATCTGCAAATTACACTCATTTACACATGTCTCTACCTCCCACTGGTCCTGGAGAAGAAAGAAGGACAATGAGAACCCATATCCCATGTTCAGAACCTTGGATAGATTAACTCCATATAATTGAGAGGTCTGGATCAATGGTTGTTTCTCTCCACCCAAGTAATTCAAGTCACTTTAGTAAGAATTAATGGTGGGGCAGGAAGTGAGGAGGATTCTTAGAGAAAATCACCTCAAAGATACCAGAAGTGAGGAAAAGGCCTTCCTAACATTACCCATTCTCAGACTCCAGCCACCCATATACAGATGAACCTCAAACTCTAGCAAGTGGTTAGTGTAACAGTCAGCAGCACATCCTGACCCATCTTAGATTGATCCCAACATGGTCTCCCTTTGTTGTCCAGCCTCAGACCCTCAGCTTCCTGACTTGATTTGGACAGCTGCCCTTGGCTCTACTGACTTACCCTAAATTTTACCTTGGACCTCAGCTGGAAAATTTACCCCTTTCTCCTTCTGAGGTATATATTAATATTAATAATTACTTTTCTGACTCCTGCCTCCATAGCGGAACCCATAAGCAGGCTCCTGTCTAGGAACAGCCTGGTAAAGGGGTAGGAAAGCCAAACATAGAAGGCTCCTGAGTTGTACTTTTCTGTATGTCTCAGTCAGTCTTCTCAAACATCTTTCAAGGTCAGAACTACAATGACCATTTTATATAAGAGGCAGTTGAGGTTCAGAAAGAAGTAGTGGGTTCCTGAGATACTAGGATTGCAATAAGCATTGATAAATTGGATAAATTGATAAATCTGATAAATAAACAATTGGATAAATTGTTAACTGAATGAGTCAGCTAATATGTGGCAGAAGCAGAATGAGAAGCAAGATCTGCCTCATGCCAAGCTCTGATTTTCCTGCTTTATGCTGCCTCCTGCCTCCTCACCCCTTCTCTGTCTCCTGTACCAGGACTTACGGTCCTGTCCCAGGAATATGACTTTATAACTCAAATATTTTTAGCTGTGGTACCCCCAAGCTTTAGCTCTATGCCCAGGACTCTGAAGTTTTTCATATCCAATGCAATGAATTTCAGAAATTGCAAAATGGCAAAGATCTTTTGGGATATGACATGCCTATAATTCCTCACACCATATATATCTGGATCTCCATAGAGACCATCTCATTTTCATAAAATTCTTTAAAATTCATTCATTCAACAAATATTCATGGAGAAGCATCATAGTGTGTTTGGGAAGATTTAGGATAGTAGTTGAGTGTAAAAGCTCTGGGGTCAAATCACATGGAATCAAATCTCACTTTACCCACGTATTAATTATATGACTTGGAGCAATATTATTGACCTTTCTTGGGGACTTATCCATAAATGGAAATAATAATGGCATCTTCCTCACAATTTTTCTGTGAAAATTTACTGAATAAATCATTATATTCTCTGCCAGACTGGGACTACTTACCCACATGCTGGTCATTAATATTGTCCCATATGGAATGTGTGCTCAATTTATTTAATAACGTTCTCTCTCTCTTTTTTTTTTTTGAGACAGGGTCTTGCTGTGTCACCCAGGCTGGAGGGCAGTGGCACAATCACAGCTCACTGCAGCCTTGATTTCCTGGGCTCACGACATCCTCCCACCTCAGCCTCACAAGTAGCTGGGACTACAGGTGTGCACTGCCAGACCTGGCTTTTTTTTTTTTTTTTTTTTTACTTTTTTATAGAGTTGAGGTCTCATCACTATCTTGTCCCAGCTGATCTAGAGCTGAGTTCAAGTGAAACTCCTGCCTTGGCCTTCCAAAGTGCTAGGGTTATAGGTATGAGTTACTGCGCCCAGCCAATAACATTCTTAAAATTAACAACAACAAAAAAGCACCTATAGCACTTACTGGGTCTTCACTCTATTTTCAGACTTTCTTAACTCTTTGTTAGCTAATGTAATTAGCACGTCACCCCTATGAGTTGCATACCATTAGTATACCTGTTGTACAAAGGAGTGTGAGGAAGAGGCTCAAAGAATATAATTTTCCCAAGATGGCATGGCTAGTAAGTAGGGCAGCAAGGGTGTGATTTCAGACTGTCTGGCTGAGAGTCTGTCTCTGCTAATCACTACCCTATACCGTGTGAGGGATGGGCATGAGAAATGAAAGACAAGGCATGACTGAGCCACATACAAATCACTAAACAGGGTCAAAGAGTACCTTGAGTGAGAAAAGAAGCTTCCCAAAAGATGCCGAGTTTGTTTGCAGCTTACAAATGAGCTTTACAAATGGGAAAGTGCTTTGGTTGGAGCCCTCTTCACAAAAGTAGAAGAACATCAGAGGAACAGAGGCAGCTTCTCACTAGCTGGAGCGTGGATTGTGAAGACCAGCAAAAAGAAGAGGGGCCAGTATGGTATGCATGAGCTGGGTCACAAGAGATCTTAGACACTGCAAGCATCTGACTTTTTCCAGAATTCCCTAGCAGAAGGACAAAAGGACATTTGGGTCTTAGAGAGGTTTGTCCCAGCCCTAGTGGGGCAAGGAAGTTATGGGGTAAGATTGAAAAAGTAGACCCCAACAAAAGAAGTTCCTGTGATAAATCCTAAACCAAGGCAGAAGCAAAGAAAATGGACAACAGTGGACAGGTAAGAGAGACATTTGGGGGGTGCAAACCCCTCAAGTTTGAGTACGGAAAAGTTAAAAAATAAAATCTCTGTATAGGTAAAAGGTGAGTTTCCTAGCAAAGCTAGAGCCTCATAATAAAAGAGCTTCAGGACAAGTACCTAACCACCAATGGGGCCTGGCCACCAGGGTCAGAACAAGGAGAAATGATGGCCATGGCCAGCATGAGCCATTCTGCATGCCTCCCACAAGCACTGACCCTACCTACACAGTTCTCAGGCTGGAGCTGTGGGCCCCAAGGCTAATAGCCCCAAGGCTTTACATTGACCTATGTAGCTGGGAAGGTGTGGGCTGAATTGAATTAACTGAGCAATTTCTGATTCTTATTTTAGTGAATAAAAAATCATATAATAAAATTAAGCATCATTCAAAATGATTAATGCTAGCAACTTCCCATGAAGTCATTTAACCTACTTGATTTAGGGAATCTGGAAAACTTTCACAAGACTAATATCAACATATGAGCAGTTTTCATTATCATTAATAAGAGTCTGTTAGGCAAGTAGTGCTCAAAATGCTTTATGCTTCAAATATTGAAATAGACAGTATCCTCAGAGATGGCTTCCCAAGCCTCCACTCATACAGGCTGCATCAAGGTCACATTCAGGACTGTAAGAAGACATCCTCCCTATTACTACAGATAACAAAGGTTTTGCCGGTCACAGTATTGAGTATGGGGAACCTGCAGAGATCAGATTCAGCCAAACCATTTCCTAAGGGGAAAGTCACAGAAATTTGTTGACCATAGGAGTAGTTGAGAATTGATATCCCAGATCAATTTGGCTAAACCAAATCTACTATTTTTAATAATAATTTGCTAAATATGATAGGACACAGAACACACTGTCTTAAAATATGGCACCTTGGCAGGAGGTCGAGGCCAGCCTGGCCAACGTGGTAAAACTCCGTCTCTACTAATAATGCAAAAATTAGCCGGGCGTGGTGGTGCACTCTTGTAGTCCCATCTATTAAGGAGGTTGAGACGGGAGAATTGCCTGAACCCAGAAGGCAGAGGTTGCAGTGAGCTGAAATCACGCCACTGCACTGCAGCCTGAGCTACAGAGAGAGACTCTGTCTCAAAAAAAAAAAAAAAAAAAAAAAAAGGCATCTTGCATACTGAGTATTTTAAACTAAAGAAAATTAAAAACACCCCAAAAGCAGGAATGTCTCTCTGACCTTTTCTTACCTTTCTCCCCTAAAGTATGCCATAAATTAATTATCTGGCCTTACCCTGAAAATAGGCCATAAGACCCCCATTTCAGAAGGGTCCTCCCCATACCTGGGGGAAAAGAGCATCTGAAGACACAGCAACACCAAGAAGAATCTGGACAAACAAGCATTGCTGAGTGTCCCCTTGTTTATTACCATGAGATTACAGCCTTTCGTCCTCCAATTAACACTTCTACACATCTGTTCACTCTTCATCAAACCTATTCGTAAAAATATACAGATTTCCCTGTTTCTTTGAGTCTTCATTTCTGAAGGCCTTTGTGTCACATCAAATTTGTATTAAATAAATTTGTATGCTTTTCTTTCATTATTCTGTCTTTCGTTATAGGAGTCTCAGCCATAAACCTAGCAACGGGCGAGATATTACTTTTCTCCTCTACGAATGAGACATTCCTTTGAAACACCATACATCAAACTTATAAAATGTTTTATATGTGGATTTTAACAGCTATTGGGAATTCGCGGTCTCACTATGTTTCTTGGAACTCCTAAGCTCAAGTGATGTTCCCACCTCTCCCTCCCAAAGTGCTTGAATTACAGGTGTAAGCTACAGTGCCTAGTCCCTTTTTCATATTTCTTTAGGTATATTTTTTCTGTCTAGCCTATTTTAAGCATTTCAAACAAAAAGCCGATGTCAATATAGTATTCAAAAATGTAGATGTTTAGAGGAAGTCAAGTAAATGTACAGGGAGTGGCAATGTCTTCCTTATGAGTAGAGCATCCACCTCAGAGCAATCTTTGTCTTGCCTTTATGTTGAGTTCTAGGAGAATAAATAAGCAGGAAGCAAAAAGGAGAGAAGTGGGCTGGATCGCTGTGGTTCCTTCCTAGAGGAGGCAACAAATAGGCATTTGCTCAGATCCTTATATTACACAAAAAGATGAATTCCTGAAGCCTGTGAAATTAAATATTTTCAAAAATAAAGCAATGGATCTCTAAAATAAGTATACGTTTATTTTTACTCAACTTCTGCAGAGAGGACCTTTGAAGCTAAAATTCAATAGAAGATACCATAAATTTAAAAATTTAAAAAAAACACTTAAAACTAAATATCATATCTAAAATAAAAATGCAAATTAAAAAGATAATGATTTGGAAATATTAGTTTATTAATATCTCTATCATATACAAATCTCAAGGTCGATATTTACAAGATGACTAGTAACATCGGTACTGAGCATAACATCAAGTGAAGACAGGGGCTCAAACATTTTCCTGAAGGTATTAACTACATAATTGCATTCTTGGCAAATGAGTCATTAGACAAATTGCTACAAATAAACAAAAGCTAGATACTTATGTTTTAGGCAGTCTAGACAACCTGATAACTTAATGAACATAATTGCTGAAAACTATTAAAAGTTCTTGGTTGATTATAGCAAAAATTCTTTTTAAATTGATCAATGATAATGATTGACAAAAACAAAACGAAACAAATACAAAACCTCAGGATTGACAGAAGAAGTGGCAAATCCTGTCTGGAGCAAAGAAAATTCAAAACAGATGTCAAAGAATTCCCATAGATCGAGTTTCAAGCAATGAGATCTCTTGGTTAAAGAGCAAAACAAAACATATATGGTGACAACGAGGTACCATGCATTAAGGGCAGGAAAATCAACATGGCCAAATGTCCAATATTGGAATTATTCTTTAGGAGTATAAGCTTGAAGAAACAAATTTAAACTATGTTTATTTAAAAAAAAACACATAGAAAATAACCAACTAGACTTTTCAAATCATCAAACTAAGTTCTGGAAATGGAACACAGTGAGTAATTAAAATTAGAAAATGCAATATCTAAGTTGAACAGCTAATTTAAAAAGCTGAATAAAGAATTAAATAATCAAATGATAGGATCAAATGAAAACTATAAAAAAATGAAGAACAGTAACAAAGACAGAAAATTGGGGAGAAATTTTAATAAACATGCAAGATAAAAAGATCTAACATAAGATCCATTGGAGTTTCAGAGGAAATGAGATAAACTGAAAATAATCTATTAGGAAGAACAGCTACAGTAGTCAAGAGAGTGTGATATTGGCATGAAGATAGGCAAAATAAAGTTCATAAATAGACCCACACAAATATGGACAACTGATTTTGGACAAAGAGCCAAAAGCATCTTTAAGTGGATTTTCAGAAATTGCTGATAAAACAGTCAGATAACCACATGCAAAAGTAACAACAAAAACTAAAAAAAAAAAAAAAAAAAAAAAATGAAAAACTGTAGTTCATACCTCCCATCATATACAATAATCAAATAGGCTGTAGGCCTACATTTAAAACATAAAACTATAAAGCTTCTAGAAAGAAAACATCAAAACAAATGTTTATGATCTTGAGTTAGGCAAAAGTATTTTAGTCACAACACTGTCATGAGTTGAATTGTGTCCCCACAAAAAAAAAAAAAAGTTGATGTCCTAACCCCTAGTACTTCAGAATGTGATATTACTTGAAAATAAGGTCTTCACATAGGTAATCAAGTTAAAATAAGTTCATTAAAGGGAACTTAATACAATATGATTAGTGTCTTTGTACAAAGGGAAGATGTGGATATGACAGAAATGCACAGACAGAAGACAATGAAGAGAGACATAGGGAGAATGCCATGTGACAGCCAGGGATGAGAGTGATGCATCCAATAGTCAAGGGATGCCAAAGATGGCCAGCAAACTACCAGAAGCTAGGAGAGAGGCACAGAACAGATTCTCTCTCACAGCCCTCCAAAGGAGCCGACCCTGTTGACACCTTGATTTCAGACTTCTAACCTCCATAACTGTGGAACAATACATTTTGGTTATTTTAAGCCACTCACCTAGTTTGCGGAACTTTGTTACAGCAGTCCTAGGAAACTAATATTTAATACAAATACCATAAACATGATCTATACATTAAAAAATAACAAAAAAGAAATACTGGACGTCATCAAAATTAAGAACCTGTGCTCATCTGGGCGCAGTAGCTCATGCCTGTAATCCCTGCACTTTGGGAGGCCAGGTGGGCAGATCACCAGGTCAAGAGATCAAGACCATCCTGGCCAACATGATGAAACTCTGTCTGTACTATAAATACAAAAATAAGCTGGGCGTTATGGTGGGTGCCTGTAATCCCAGCTACTCGGGAGGCTGAGGCAGGAGAATCACTTGAACTCGGGAGGTGGAGGTTGCAGTGAGCCAAGAAATGAGAACATATAAATATACAAGAACTTGTATCTGAATGCTCATGCAACTTTATTTGAAATAGCCCAAAACTGAAAACAATCTAAATGTGAAAAACTGCTCAGTGCAAAACCAAATTGTTATATATAACTATACAGTGGCATACTACTCAGCAATAAAAAGGAATGGACTGTTTTCATATACAACAACAGTCTTAAATAATTAAGCAGAGTGAAGGTAGAAACCTGGCAAAATTTATATACTGCATGCCTTCATTTTTAAATAGTCATCCACAATGCACACGAATCTGTAATTCATCAGTGGTTGCCTGGGGATGGGGAGGCAGGGTGAGAGGGCCATCAAGACTAGATTACCAAGGAGCAGGAGAACATTTGGGAGGGTGGAGTAATGGTTATGTTTCTTATCTTGATAGTGGTGGTAGCTTCAAGAATGTACGTATCTGTGAAACTCATCAAATTATACACAATTTATTTTGTCAATTGTACAAAATATAATGAATCATTATTAAATTGGATTGAACCCCCAATAGAGCAAATGTTAAAAATTTGTGGAATAGCAAGTATATTTACATACTTGTGGAATGTTATTTAGAAAATAATTTTAACTCAACTAACAGAGCTGGAAATGAGATTGTTTTCTGACCTATGCATTTGGAATAACGGTAGATTGTTTCTGACCTATGCATTTGGAATAACGGTACCCTCTGATGCAGCAATTTGTTCTACCTCCTCCCCGCATAAGCATACATCTGATTATCACTAATATTCATAGGATAAATCTTTCTTTTAGTAAAACTATAATATCAATCAATAGAATTAATTGCCAGATACCAGAATATTTATAAAACAGAATAATGTTCAACAGTGAATATGAATGAACTACAATTACAAAGTGAACCTCATATCTCACATATTTTATTAATATTTGTTTGTATCAACACAATAGCAAATCAGTAAAAGCTATGTAAAATAAAAACAATATTAAATAATATAATAATTATTAAATAAAAATTGCAACAATAATCATAGAAAGACTGAAAAGTAATATATGTTAATATTATGAACATTTAATGATAGCTAAGGAAGTTTTTTCTTGCTCCTATCATATTTCCAAATTTTATTTAATGAGTGTATACTATTTTGACAGTGAAAGCAATAAGCTACAAATTTCAAGTGTTAAGCTAAATCATTATAGGGTGTAACTATAGCTATTTTTAAGTATCACTTTATGGCATAGATTACTGATTAAAATATAGCAACTAAAGACATTTCATTCATAATATCAAAGTATAATGCTCCACTAAAATAGCAAGTTGTGTATCAGCTGATTTGCTTTATAAGTCCACATAGTGCACAAAGTCTCCTAAAATAGCCCCTAAAGAGCAAAATGTAGGCCAGAACACCAAAAGGAATTCATTCGATGAATTGTATATGATGTAATGTAAAATTCATAAATGGAAGTTTTCTGAATCTAAAAATACTTGAAATCCTCAAAATTAGGCAAAGTGGACCAAAATAGTTCTAAAAAGATACAAGCACTTATCCTGACAGGTGTAATATTGTACATATTTCATAAAATGCATTGAATTGCGTAAATATGAATTTTAGGTGAGTGTCAGCGGGAAACTTTTCATTAACCAAATTAGTTTTACTCAGATAGGCTGTAGGCAAAATGTTCCACTCCCAGATGAGTATCCATCATGGTGACAATGTCAGTGAGTTAAAAGGACCCACTGCCAGCACACAGGCACTTGGCGAAACCAAGAATTGCCTTGGTCAAAAAGGAAGAGGCACTGGGCAAACCCAGTGCCAAAGCCCTTGCAGGGAAACTTGCAAGAAGAAGAAACACTCCTAGAAAATTACAACCAATAGATTCTCACTTAGTGTTAATATGAGCCAGAATCCAAGTCAAATGCATAGGATAAAAGATCCTATGCATTTTATGATCCCACAGCTAAGAGAAAGAGACAGAAATAAATATCATTGTACTGTTACAAGTTCAGTAGGCAGGTCAGTACAAAGAACAGACAGATCTCAGAATCGGGCTGGTAGTTTCTGTCTTGGGCTTTGGGATCGGGGAGGAGGGACTGCCTGGGAAAAGGAATATTTGTTCTGGACCTTAAACCTGAGTAGGACTTGTCAAACAGAGAAAATGGGAGAAATAATTACAAATAGAAGTGAAAGGTATGACTTCTTTGCAAAATTATGAATCATTTTCAGTACCAGAGATTTGGATACTTAGGTGAAAAGTGATAGATGTGAGTTCAAAGTAGTAAGGGATAGTTTTTGGAGATAGAAGAATATAGGCTGTCATTTCCTCCTTTAGGCATTGGAGATCCCATTACAGTACTTGTGTTGTTGCTATTGTTTTATCTGTGGTTTACTTTTTTTTTTTTTTTTTTTTTTTGTGATGGGGTCTCGCTATTGTTGCCCAGGCGGGAGTGCAATGGTGTGATCTCAGCTCACTGCAACCTCTGCCTCCTGGGTTTAAGCAATTCTCCTGCCTCAGCCTCATGAGTAGCTGAGATTACAGGTGTCTGCCACCACGCCAAGCTAATTTCTGTGTTTTTAGTAGCCACAGGGTTTCAACATCTTGGCCAGGCTGGTCTCGAAATCCTGAGCTCAGGTGATCTGCCCGCCTCAGCCTCCCAAAGTGCTGGGATTATAGGCATGAGCCACCGCGCTCAGCCTATTTGTTTACTTTTTAGAACAGGCATGAAACATGATGGTTATTTTTAAAGAAACAGATTTAGAGAAAGGAGTAAAATCGGAGAAAGAAAATTATTGTAATAATCAGTGAGAGATGATAAGGGATTGAATTGAAGGTTTGACATTAAGGAAGGATTATGAAAGGGATTTAAGAACTATTTTGAAAGATGAATAGTCAGAGCTTGGTTCAAAATTGTGGAAGGTGAGAGAGAGGGAGTAATAGATAAGAACTCTGAGAATTCAAATTATGACAACCCAGAAGATGGCAGTATCATTAACCCAGATGTGAAATGCAGGAAAAAGAGCTGGTTTTAGGACATAGATAATGGTTTAGTTTTGAACATGCTGATTTGTATGTTCTTCCAGCATACCCAGGAATGTGGAAAATGGAAGTATATTTTGGAACTAAAATGAGAGCTTTGAGTTACTGAAATAGACTTAAGAGTGTAAAACTGGTAGTTACAGCTCTTAGAAAGGATGAAATGCTAATAATCAGCACAGAATATAGATAATGGGTATTCACTGTGTGATCAGGTATTGTGTGAAGGACTTTGCATATATATTCATTTATTTAATTCTTACAATAACTCTGTAAGTTAGCCACTAGGGTTATTTCTCCCGTACACGGGAAATTGATTCACAAAGAGGCTAAAAACTTGTCCAAGAGTGCCAGTGACCAAGCTGGGATTCATACCCAAATAGCTGAGTGCCAGGGCAAAGATGCTTAACCAGCACTTTGTGCTGACCCTGAGCCGCCCGACAAGAAGGAAATTGGAGAACGTTGACATTTGGCAATGGAGGTGGGGAAAGTGGCAGAAAGGAGACCAATGGAGGCCACAGAGGAACACCCTGGAGAGTATAATGTTAAGAAAAGCAAAGGATGAGAGTTTCAAGGAGCGGGCAGCCCACCTCATCAAACAGTGCAGAGAAATCTCAAATGCCTGTGTGAGTATGGGACCAGAAGCCAGAGAGCAGCTTTCTGTGAGGTTGTGGGAAAGGAGGCTAGACTCTGATGGGCTATGGAGTGGCATGGGAGTGATGGTACAAGAGCCATCAGGCAAGGAGAGGAAGAAGCCACTAACTTGATTGGTAACAGGATGGAAGAGAGGTTTATGGCATTTCCAATTGCAGGGGTTGTCCCAGATGTCTGTCTAGGCTCAGTTGAAAAAGCCAAAGTCTTCCAAGAGGATCATACCCTTACCACCAGGCTTGTCTGAATGCATTTTAGGCAAACTCAATGGGTCAAACGGAAAGAACTAGTGCTTAGGACCAAAGTACAGGAATAGGAACTCCAAAACATTGAAAGAAGCCTGAAGGCTTCATCTAAGACGGTCCCCTCCAGAGTGAAGATTGGGACTGTCATAGGCAGAAGGAGACCTGGGCATCAATCAGCATCTAGAATGAACAAAGGACCCCAGAGACTTTGAAGCAATGTTCACCTACAGGCCCGTTTGAGAACACAACCTGGGAGGCAGAAGAATGTGTTGGGGCCCAGGAAGTTGGGGGATACGCTAATATATTCCAAGACAGAATGCTTTACTTAAGATAAATCATATGTCCTTCAAAGCCTCATATTATCCTGGGCTTTGGATGTTTTTGGCATTTCTGCCTCCCTCTCTGAATTCACATCTTAAAAAATCTTTGTGTGCTACACCATGAGTATGCTAGAGGGGATGCATTCTCTGGGCCCAGTGTGGCATGGGCCTTTAATAGTGGGAAGGAAGGACTCCTCTGCCCAGCCTTTTGAATGAACATACTCAGCTCTTACAAATCCATACAACCACAAATCAACCAGGTACATGGGATCATAGAAAATATAATTCTGTGACCACCTTTTATTTGCCTACACTAAAATTTTTCCCCTTACTGTTGACATACTTGGTTCACTAAAACCCACTTTTCTCTCTACTAGGCTTCCAATATTTTTCCAAGAACACCACTTTCATGTCATCTCCACCCCCTTGCCTAATGGCCATGTTTAGAAGTGCAGAATTAAACTCCATGACCTTCAAACAACATACATTTAGTGTTTGCTCTCTAGACCTTGAATGATAACTGAAGATAAAAGATATTCCATTTTCTCTTCTGACTCTGGAGTCCTGCTGGCTATGCCCACCCCTTGCCTGACTTCCCTCAAAGGAGAAGGTGGACAGACAAAAAAATAAGTGGCAGAAGCTTGGGGATGGGGTTTGTGTTCCTCCCTGTCAGCTGTCTTAAATGATTCTCTTTTCTGTTCCCTGGAAGAACCACGGGGAAGCCTTCTGTTGTCATTCATCAACTTTGGTTTGGAAGGAACAGAACCATTTTGCATAATACATGGGTCCCCCCCTAAATTATAAATATGCTGTGACTGCAGATTTTCCCACTGCTTTCCTCTATACCTCAATATCATCTTAAAAACTGTATTTCCAGAGTCAGGAAGATAAAAAGTAAATTAAATGTGGCAAGATCAGAAGTCAGAGCCAAGAACCAACCATGTGTCTTGGCCAGCTTCTAGGATGTATGACAGTACTTTATCCAAGTAAATTCTCCCACAGTTCATATGAGTCCATTCTTCTGCTTCACTTCTTTCCTAAATGATTTCCAATAACTACTGTGCTTTCCTGATAGCTGGAATAATCTCAGCTTTTCCCCACGTGTGCACATCCCTGTGTTCCAGACCCCTGCCCAGTCTGAACCCTGAGCCATACCTTTTCCTGTTGAAGTGTTCCAAAAGGATTCTTATTTGACTTCAGTGGCTTGCTCTCTGAGAGCCAACTTTTAAAATTGCTGTTTGACAGGTTTGGTTGTTTGTTTTAAGTAAAATATTTCATAATATCAGATTATACCTGGGCTCAAATAAAAAGGAAGCAAACATTTTTAATACATTTTGCTTTCAGCCATTCCAAAGATGTTTAGGTCAAAATGAACCAGAGCAGGGATAGATTTAGAAAAAAAAAATGTAGGGCTCATAATAACTTATATTTTCTACCTAAAAATACAACTTTAGTTCTGACCTCCTTCGGCCTTCAGTTTTCCCAAAGGTCCTGACTCCTACTCAATGCATTCATGCTGAGCAAGCCTCTGGTCACGGGTTTTCTCACCTAACATGTTGTACAGTTCCTGTCCTTGTTGAGAAGTGAAGCTATAATTCTGAGGTTTCTGATTTTCCCTTTTTTGGATCACAAAGAGAACTAGTCTCAAAATATGGCCAAAGTGTAGCAAGACAGGAAGGATCATCCCTGAGAAACCAGGTAGTAGAGTAGGGTAAGGATGCCTTGTTCTTAATCTAAGCGTGTTAAAGGCAGTATTGAGACATATTGTACATACTGCTTGTTCCTGTTGCCTTGAAAAACTTAACATTGCATGGACTCCTGCGGTATCCTAACAGCTTTATCTCTGCAATAGCATGGTGCTTTCAGGCCCATGGATGCACTTAGCAATGGAAAAGATTATTCCGGCCGAGGAGACTGAGGCTTACAGAGACTAAAAATGTGACTTAGAATGCTAGTCTCCATTAGCTCCATGGGAGAGAGTCCTGTCCTGTGTTGTCATGGGCTCATGTCTCCTGGGGGGATTATTAGATTTATGAACTTCCTAGGCATTTATTGACTGTATACACACTTTGCAATTTAATGGTAAATTCCAGGGTACAAGGAATTGTTTTCTTTGTCTTATGTTCTATAGTGTTTTTCATGCATTATGTGCTGAACAACTTGGTTCTTGAATTCAATTGAATTGAACCTAACACCATCTTTATATTCTTTTTGGTACAATATTCTTATGAATTAGGGTTCAGTTTTTCCAATGCAGAAAATTATTTTTTTCCTTTATCCTGTGTATTTTTTGAAACATATTAAGTATGTAAGAGTTTCTGGATGAATTGAAGTAAGTAGAATTTCTATAAAGATATTTAACCTCTTCTGCAATCGATTTTTGTTTGTTTAATGGGAAGAAAATACTTCCCAAAGTCCCCACAATTTTCACTTCCCTAGTCCACTGAGTATACCCCACCCTCATCCCTGGAGGTTGAGTGTAGTAGCTATTATGCGAGAAAATGAATCAGAACTTTTTCCTTTTAGCAAGCCCCCTGCTGAAAAGGTATACATCCTTTGAAATGTATTTATGCTTTGCCTATTCTCACACGGTGACCATGTAGGTCAGGTGTTTCACAAATTATCTCGTAGAGAGAGATAATGCAGGAGATTCAGTGTCCAGCCCAATGTTTGACAAGTTACAGCTGTTACATTTCAGCTATTAGGTAGAAGTCATAACTGTGTTTGCCTCAGCACCAAGATGAGTCTTGTCTCTGGACAGGAGATGATAAGTCAGGCTTTTTCCAGGAATGTTAAGAAGGGGCTAAGATTACCTTCAAAGGCTGAGTTATTTCATTGAAGAAAATGTTGTTTGACTTTTGTGTTACAGTCTTCCTCACTGGCTGGGATGGTTAAGAACAACAGAATTGTCATATTTAGGCTTTGATGGTTATATTTTGTTCAGGATGAATCGACTTTTGAAAAATTTTCCTTCTCTAGAAGGAGGACGTCTCACCTGAATGAGCTGACATGCAAATAATTGAAGGACACCATCTATGATGAGCCAAACACAAAAGAAATATCATCAAATATCTTACTTATCATTCAAATAATTACCAACAGAACAAAGCTGAAATATACAAGTAATTGTGTATTTTATCACTGAAGACTTTTCTTGGACAATTATCATTCCTAGTCAATACTCTATAAAGGAAGAGTTGTGCTCATGTGGGTAAGAGTTCCATCGACGATCTGGGAGGCATGTACCAGAAAGATGAAGTTTTACCAAGGAGGAAGTGTCTTTGCCTATGGATAGAACAAGACACACTCTTGAAGCTCAGGTAGACAAGGAGGCAACGTTAGCTAGTAAGTCAATGCTGGAAAGGTTTCAGTCAGGCAGGAGCTTTTGCATTCACAGCCTCTATATCACTGTGCATCTATTGTCTTTAGCACATATTTATTGAGTGTCCACTCTGGGCTGGAATTTGTGCAAATTGACAGAAGGGCCATTGTACGCAAAACAGGCATGGTTTCTATCTTAGAAACATTTTGCAAAACATGAAACAGTCATAAATTCCTTACTGATAATATACAAAACATTTTTGCAAATGAAAATGCCAGTGCCAACTTAATTTAAAAAAGCTCAAAAATTTTATTAAAGCTTTTACAAAAAGATGTGCCAATAACTAGTAAGTTGTGAGAAACTAGTACACTTTATTCATAAACATTAATTTATATAATTAGATATGGATTGCCACATATTAGATGAGTAAAACTACGAAAGATTTATGCCTACTGTTTGTAAGTATAATGAAGGTCTTTCACGTACTGTTGGATGAGACTTTAAACTGATACAAAATTTCTAGGTATTGTAACTATGCCATATCTGTCAAATTAACAATGTCTTCACCTGTGACTTCACAAATCCCAATTTTGCGAACCTATCCTAAGAAACTAGAGCACAAGTTGTAATGCTGTATGCATATTATACATAACAGCAAAAAAAGAGTAATGAACTAAATATACATGAATAAGAAATGAGTTAAAAACATCAAAGTATAATCCCATGATAGAATATGATATAGCTGCTTAACATAATCAGATTAGTATCAGGGCAAAGCATATAAACAATCCTCAATAAAACAGACCAAAGTGACCAGCAGAATTCCTTATTGAATATCTAGGTCTTCCCCTCTGTGTTCCTGATGCTTTACTCTAGGGTCTTCTTGTATTTGGTTGCATCTTTTGTCAGAGATACGCCTTGAAACCCCTGAGAAAGCTCCTCCATGCTCCCTGGTGAGTGCTTTTTACCACCATCCCTTCTTCCCATCAATGTTGACTCCCAGACAAGGAAATAGCCTTGTTGCCTGTTGCTGGAAAACCCTGGCCCTCTCATGCCCTGGCTACTATCCCATCTCAGTCCATATGAGAGCAAGAGAGAAAGTCAGGACACTTTCTGGTGGGTGGTTATAATAGGAATGGGAAACACAGGATTCAGCACAGTTTGTTGCTTACCTCAAATGCTGAGATCTTTCAGATCACGTATCAACTCATTTTTTAGTTTTTACCATTTTTATGCTTGTTTCTCAAACTACTGCGGGGGCAGAAGAGAAATAAATGTGGAAATAAGTGGGTTATTAGCTAAAGCGGCTGAGTGGCTTCAAGATATCCTTTATTGAGTTCGGGAGGTGGCCCAAATCTAAGCATCCCAAGAATTGTGGCAAACTCAAGTTCAGCTCAGGCATTAGATTATCTGTGAGCATCTAATAAGGTGGTTGAAGCAAAAAAAGACAGCATGGAGTGTTCATTCAAGTAGACAGAACTCTAGTGATGCTGGTGATACTCTCTGCTCTCAACTATTCAACATGTGTAACGATGGTCAGGATCTCCTCTGAGAGTACAGTCGTGAGTACAATGAATACAATGCCTATCTTTACAGAGCTTGCTGTCTCTCATAAGGGTGAGCACAATTATGTTTTGGAATAGAATATTGGAAAGGGTCAGGGCACATCAGAGCAGAACACACACACACACCCTTACACACATGCCATAACTTCCTTTTTTCTTTTGATTACTTATTTTGGAATATCTTGCATTGTTTCCTAGAACATGAGTCTCTGTAACCATGGAAATGGCTGTCATTTTCAGTCCAAGGGGATAAAGGACAGTGTGTTTAAAGGGATACTAAATAAGCTTTGATTGCTAGAGATGGCACTTCAGATTTTCATGGGGGACTAAAGTGGTAATGGGGATTATCAACTGCAGACCCTACCCCTCACTTCCTTAATTTCATTTGAAAGCTGGTTTCACCCCTTCCATGCCCTCCAGCTTAATAGCAGGAGGGGAGGTAGCCATTCTTCCCCACCACCACCCTAGAACAGACCACACACAGCACAGGTGGGAGAAGCCAGATGCCATTTTGACTTTTGCAGCCCCTCATCCCACAAAAGCCCTCGTGCTGACTCACACACGCAGAACTGCAGAAGCCACCCAGGGCTGTAGCTCTGACTCCTCCAGGGCCTCTGATTCTCTTTCCTGGATGTTTTCTGGGCATCAGGAACTGGATCCAGCAAGCCAGCCACAGAACAGGAGCCGAAAAATGATTTTGGGAAAAACTAACTGGACTGGAGTCGAAACCTCTTGACCTGATGTTAACCTTGTTTTTATTTCTCTTGTACTATGTATTTTCTGGTAAATCTAATAAATCTCCTCTTGTTTAAGTGACAGGCAGTTGGGATTGTTATTTTTGCTTTTGGCAAATCCTCAAAGGGGAAAATCAGCCCATCCACATGCCTCAAAAGGGAGGAGAAATAGGTCAAATCAGAGGCAGAGTCTAATTTCTTAGCAGCAGTCAGGGCTGAGGAGGATGGGCCATACTTCTGGCTAGAGATCCTTCTATGGACCTGGGCAGACACGGGCACCCAGAGAGGGGTATGTTGAGAACTTTCACTGGGTGATCCTCGTGTGGACTTCCGACCTAACAGGAGAGTTGGTTGCACATGTGAATCCAAGAAGGAGTTCTGTCACATCACATGTAGGACAAATAGGCACCCTGAAATGGATAACTGTGCATTGCTCCCCTACTCTCCTTTCCTTTTAAGATTTCTGTGTTTGCCTGGTCACATTTCTGGCCTTTGCTTTATTAATCTTGATAATAGCAGGGAAGAAAATTGTAGGATCACCTAGAAAAGCCAAGTCAGTCTACATTAGAAAGGGCAGAAAGCTATGCATGATAGGAGAAAAAATAAAATAGACAATAGAATCAAAAGAGGAGGAAAAGATGCAGAGAAAGAGCCAGCCTAGGACATGTTTACCAAGGGTTTATAGGAGTTTCTAGATGTGAGAGGAGAGATTGAGCTGCAGTTTCAGTGCCTTTTAAGTGAAAGGGTAGGAGAGAGACTCAGGAAAGGGATTTCAGAATTTTGGCATTGGGAAAGTAAGTAATCCCCCTTTAGCACTTCTTAATAAGCCCTTCATAATAAATAATTTTATTCCTTTTCAATGCTGTTTGGATGTCACACCAGTTTTACATCAGAATGCAACTCCCTGTATTTGGGCCAGTTTTATATGGATTACATGGGATTAAGCAAACATTGCTCAGTGGATTAACAAGTGCCTGAGACCCAGCTGTCCAAAAGTGACTTCAAACTCCACAGGATGAAGGGTCTAAGCCAGCTGATAGCCTGTAATTCAGAGTGAGTAGAAGCTTGGGTATGCTCAGCCTGCAAGTTGAGAATCCTCAGTGACTGTAGCAGAGAGGATTCAGAAAGACAGCGATATTATGGCACTTTTCCCCTTATAAATCCTCTGCAGGTTTTCTGTCACCTTGGGCTAAATGCAGTGGCTGTGCTCCGTTTTCTCTGGCCACATGGGGCACCATTGGTCATTCCGTCTTCCTTGCAGCACTCCCTGTTGTTCCACAACACTGCTCACTTGGTTTCACTCCTTCCTCGCTGGGCACTCCCTCCCAGTTTCTTTCACTAGTTTCTCCCCCAAGGTTCTGACCTCAGAACATTTCTTTGCCCACATCATACCTGAATCAGCTCATGTTGCCTCATGGCTTTAAATACAAAATAGCTGTGGCTCTCAAATTTAAATCTCTGCCCTAAACACCTTTCTCATCTACAAAATCACATCTACAACTGACTATTTGATATCTCCACTTGACTGTCTAACAGGCTCAAGCTTCACATGACCGGGGCTGAACTCCTGGCTGCCCTACACCTCTTAACCCAAAACCTTTCTTCTGAAGCTGAGGCAGGAGAATGGTGTGAACCCGGGAGGTGGAGCTTGCAGTGAGCCGAGATTGTGCCACTGCGCTCTAGCCTGGGCGACAGAGCGAGACTCTATCTCAAAAAAGAAAAAATAAATAAATAAAAATAAAAATAAAATAAAATAAAATAAAATATGAGTTCAAGTAACTTAAGCCAATTCATACACTGAAATTTGAGAAGCTCTTTTCCAAATTAGACTGCTCTTTCATCTTTGGTCCTGGAGTGAGAAAGGTATGGAACATAAATACGCTCCATCCGTTAAACACATGGTATATGAGTGGGAAAGAAACATTTTCGTGTTGTAAACCACTGAGATATGGGGATCACATGTTTTTCGGCATAATGTAATCTCCATTTGGCCAATACGGTAAGGGAGGAGGGTAGACAAATCCCATGATGTTTCTGTGACCTTGTGTTTCTCCCTTGGTGAGTATGCATTCCCTGGAAGGAGTATGCTTGTCCTGGTCAAGGATTCTTCAGGGATGATCCTCCCTTTGGCCTGAAGCAGATGGGCAGAGGGACCACTCTAGGATTTAGCAATCCAATTCAGTATTATTTAACAAGCCTAAATCCTTAAAGTATCCTTAGTAAGGAGGCCTAGGCAACAGGGACAGATATAATGTGAACTGATTTCTTTTTCATCATATGAGTTAGGGTTAGAGATGCTGATATACATTCAAAATGCATTGGAAATAATTTCCACACCTGTCACCAGCGCTTGCTCATTCTGAAGAGGACTGAGGCAAAGAGGGAGCCAGCTAAGGGTGTCAGTGCCCTTAGACTGGGCCCAGGTGCTCTATTAGGGATCTGAAGTGGAAAGGGACATGTTTCCAACAACTTTTGAGCTTCACAAGAAAGGAGTAATACCTAGAGTTTATGCCAGGAGGTGATGCTGGCCATGGACCCATCATGTCTGTTGTTTCATCACTAAAAGATATATCCAGCAAACACTGAACCAAGCACAGCATCCCACAGGCAGTGCTAACAATCATGGGCTCAGGTGCGTGCTTGTGTGTGTGCATGTGCATGCAGGCATGTGTATGTGGTGTGTGTGTCCCTCTCTCCTGGGCCTCCTTACTAAGGATATTTTAAATATTCAGGCTTGAGATTTTCCCAGCACCAATTCACAGCTCTTGGGTGTTCAAGGGTCTCTAGACTAGAAAGATGTCCATCCACACCCCCAGCCTCTTTTGGCCCACAGAGGATGGAGCAGCAGGGAGGGGCTGGAATGGGCTGCCCATACTCTCACTAGGCTCTTCCCTGAGGTCTGGCTGCCCTCAGACAAAAGCCTGGGGTAACATTTTGCATTCTATTTTCTTCATAACAATGCTTCCCTTCCTCTTCCAACCAAGGAATTTTCCATCGAGTGAAACAAAGTACATTTTGCGAATTAATGAGACAAGGAGGAAGGATTTGAGCTTCCTGTGGAGGCTCTGAGAAGGGCCGAGATGCCCATGAAATATTTAGAGGCATTTTCTCAAAGTAGTGGGCCGAGATGAAAAGGTAAAATCAAGAGCTGTTTTCCAGAGCCTATAGAGATTGAAACCCACAGCTGGGGCTCTAGCGTGATGTATAACCTTTGCTTCCTATGCTGCTGTCCTTGCAGGGAGCTTCTGCTTAGTCCTCTTCAGGCTGGGAAAGCTGTCTTTAAAGTTGGATGATCTGTCCCTTGCAATTGTAGCCCTGCCCACTGGACATGGGGAATTTAATCAGATTATGCCAAGAGTACAGAGAACACACTAGATTGTGCTCATCACATACAGTTGTTAGTAAATTCTAAAGCAAGGATCCTGTGGACGCTCAGGTCTTGTAAGATGCATTGGTCCCTGAAGCCCCAGGGATGAAACACCATAGTCGCGCAGAGTTATCTCCAGGGATGAGAATCAGTCACATGATTCTAATATCTAAGGAGCTTGCAACCAGGTCATCTATTCACAATCTAATTTTCTGTGCATAAAACTCACTTTGTTGCTATTCTTACTGACAGACCTAGATCCCACAGAGAATTAGATTGGATTAGAGTGTGCCGGAGAGCTACCATACGTAACCATTATCTTCTAAAAGCTCCAGGTTACAAATGATAATCCCCGGGACAGGTGTAGCACTACGAATGTGGTAGATGCTGACCACACAATGTTTTCAACAAAATTACACACTATTGTTTGAAAATAAGATATGTCATTTAAATTCTGGATGCATTGTCTTTCTTAAACCCTGAAAAATCTGGTAATATTGGCCCCAGACTTTAAAATGGAAACCATTAGTCAGAACTGACTGCCAGATTGTTGGACTTCAGATTAAAATGTTTTATGCAGTTTACCAAAGTCTCTGCTGCTCCCTATTGTCTTATATTCATCCCATTTCTTGGGATCATTTGAGTCTGTGACCTTCAAAACTATCATTTAGTAACACAACTGTTAATCAAAGATACTCGGAAATGTGCTGTATTTAATATTTCAGCTTTCTCCCATCAGGCGGGATGCGAAGTGTAGTGGGCTGTGATCAGGATGCAGTCTCCTTCCTGCCCATCTCTGTGCCATCATTGCCCCTGAACTAGGCACGGCAGATCAGATTCCTTTTCTATGTGAAGACTTTGATTGTTAGAGATCTCTTTCCTGTGGCTGTTATGGTTACAGAGGGCTTCTCTGAACTTCAGTCTCATCCTCCTTTTTGTGAGCAGGTGGCCAGTCCTGGATAGGGTGTTTTCAGAAGGAAATACCATGGTCTCATGCATTGTTTCTTTGGTAGTTCCATGTGGCCATGTGCCCAGACTGGAGATGATTTGCTGTCTCCTCCTGCACAGAAAGCTCTCTGCTGAAGAATTGGGGTTTCACAGTAACAAGTCAGTGCCAAGCTGTTCCCAGTCTAGGCTTTACCCCAAATATATACAGCAGTAAGAACTACTATACCTTGTGGCAAAAAAGCACTAGCTGGAAATAGCCCATCAGATAGCCACATCTCATTGAACATTCTCAGAATTATTGTGTATTTCCCCCTCCACTATTAAAAAAAAAAAAAAGACTGCCATCACTCCCTTGCCCTTGGGGACATTTTGACTTCATACTTTGCAACACATGCTGTAGGCAAAGGCAGGTATTGTTTGGGTTTCCTCTTGAGCTCAGAGGTGGGAGAAGTTTTCAGAAGGCTGTCCTGTTTTCAGAAGTCACTGGATCCCACACCATTGAAGATTCCAACCAAGACTAACCTCTGACCTCTGCAACATACCAATGCTATGTCCAAACAGAATGAACACTGAGCAAGCTATAGAATAGCCAAGCCCTAGATCTAGGCTATTCCCTGATCCTACATACAATTTGATTGATAACCTAGGTCCCTCTCATCCATCTTAGTCTTGCACTTTGTAAGTACATGTGCTAATGAGACATTCTTATGGATCTTGATGGTGACTTCTCTGAGACAAAGTTGCTAGAGAAGGAAACTCCATGTAGCCAGTGGGTTCTGAACATTCTCATGCACAGAGCCCTGAACAGATCTCCTGCAGACTCTGGGACTCTATCTACCTGTCAGGTATGAGCTGGCTTCCCAAGCCAATAAGAAACTTTGCTTCCAGGAGCTATCTTTAGCCTTACTATCTCCTTTCAAATGTCCAATTTTGAAATTGATCTAAAAATTTGACAGAATAAACCCTCTAAACAAAGGGCATATCTATTTACCTTAATAATCAATTCATCATCTTCTTTTATTATTATTATACTTTAAAGTTCTGGGTTACATGTGCAGAACTTGGAGTTTTGATACATAGGTATACATGTGCCATGGTGGTTTGCTGTACCCATCAACCCATAGCCTACATTAGGTATTTCTCCTAATGTTATCCCTCTCCTAGCCCCCTATCCCCCACAGGCCCCGGTGTGTGATATTCCCCTCCCTGTGTCCATGTGTTCTCATTGTTCAACTCCCACTTGTGAGTGAGAACATAATGCATTTTCTTTGTTGTCTTCATTTGATTGGGACAAGGAACATAGTACCAAAAAAGAAGGAGGAGGAGGTAGAGCAAGAGGAAGGAGAGGAAGGGAAAGAGAGTTGGTAGGGAGAGGAGGATGAGGAAAAGAAAGTTGTCAACAAAGACCGAAGACCACTTCCAACTCCTGCCAGCCCTATCCAACTGCCAGCAACCTGACCTCAACTTCTGCAGACTGTCTGGGCCCAGCGCTAAGCCAAACAGACCCTGACCTAGAAGTAAAGAGGGAGCTCCCTCTCCACCAATCAGTTGGGCAGAAAGTAGTCTCCAGCCTTTACATCCATGACTGCTGGGTGCAAGGAGCCAACTGTCCTCCTGGACTCAGCGTTGTTGCTGCATCCAAATCTTGGCAGGAGAAATTCATCTACCAGAATGGCCTTTTACTGAGCCCATGTGTACATTGCAGCACTTACCAGACTAGACTTCCTGTCCTGAATACTCATTTGGCCCGTAGCAGCCTTGGCCTTGCCAGTGTCTCTCACTTGGGAATGGATTTCACATCTGACACCAAATGCATCAACGTAAACAGCTCTCTCTAGATTCAGTCCACACAACACTAAGAACTGCCCCTGCATTGAAAAAATGACCACCTCCATAGATTACACTTCTCATATTAATTCCAATGAAACTAAACTTGAGTTAAGATTTGGATGTCTTTTCCTTTCCAACTCCCTATCTTTTACTTTCTCTCAGCCTCACCCCTCCAAGCTCAGCTGATTATCTTCTGTTTTCAGGAGATGCCACCAATCCAGCTGGTTGAACTTATTGTGGTTACAGCAGGACTATGAGTCAGAACTTGAATTGACTGGTTACCAAGAATTCCTTTTTCTGTGATTTTGTTCATCAGGGATTCAGCTGACTGTAGATGAAACAAAAGGGAATAGGTGAGATTTTTCTATTGGCTTTCTAGAAAAGAGCTCCACTACATTTCATTATTATTTAAGCCCTTAGAAAAACATTGAGGATAAAACAGCCATTTTATCCACAAATGGCTATTTAAATGTAAATCAGATCATGTCATTCCCTTCTCAGGGGGCCTCCAACAGCTACCTGATGCACTGAGAATAAAATCAAAATTTTGCACATTGCTGAGGTCCCAACTTACCTCCTAAAGCCCACCCTTGCCATGCTTTTCCTTGAGCTTCATGATCTAATACAAATGCACTGTTTTAGTTCTTGAAAGGCAACACACCCTTCTCTCTCTAGACCTTCGTCTCTCTAGACCTTCGTCCCTCTAGACCTAGTCTCTTTGCCTGGATTGCCCTTATCGCAGGCTCAGATCTGAATCGCACAGCAAGACGTTCTCCACTGACCCTTTTGGAGTAGGTCATGTTAATTCTCATCATTGCACTCTATGAGTTTCCCTTGTATTAATAGTACTTATACAAATGGATAGTTTCATATTCATATGGCTTTTTAACCGTGTATTGTATACTTTCTCAACTAGACTACCCAGGGAGGTAGAGTCCACACCTTCTTTGTGTACTAATTATGCTTAATAATACCAGTGCTTAATACATGGTATAGGCTCAATATGCATTTAAAAATATATAAACATATTAGCGAATGAATAAAATAATTAGTAGTACTAAATCAAATCCCATTTTCTAACATTTAATTGCATAGTTACCATAAATCTATATATGAGTAGAGATGTACGGAGTCCCGGAATGCTCTTAGTTTAATCTCTGCCATTTCAGGCCTAAAATGATTTCATCCTCTGAGCTTTAGATTAGTTCCATTTGTCATGTACTGCCACTTGCTTTTTCTGCACAGGAGTAATATCTGTAAAAGGGCCCAAGGCCTTTCTCTTCTGTCTCTCAACTGAAGTATTAGAAGTACAGCTGTAGCCCCATCTCATTCATACTGTCTTAAGACTCTGCCCACCTTTGGCTGCTGGGACTGACTTCCCAGCTTTGGATCTCAGCGTGATCATAAGGGAAATGTCCACAGCTTCTCTTATGCCACAGGCTTTGTTTTTCTTTATGTTGAGGTTTCCTCTGTGAATTGGAGATTAAAATAGCACTTTAGAGAACACCAAGAAGAATAAAAATATTAACAGTGAATAATTTCCTCTGAGCTTCATTGGGATCCTAAAAAGCATTGAAGTGCAGTATGGAGACCAGGGCTTTGGCATTTGACTCACCTTATGAAACTGTGACTCATAGAGTACTCACGATAAGAACTTTGTTCAGAATTTGTCCTTTAAATATAAACCTATCCTCATCTGTGAAGGGAGAATAATACTATTAATATTTCAGAGTTGATATGAAGATAAAATGAGAGAGCAGGACATCCAGAAGAGTGTCTCACTCAAAAAGACATTAATTTTATTTCATCTGAGGTAGTTGAAGCACACGCCTCACCTCCAGTTTTAGAAGTTAAGGTCCCCTCAGGAAATTTCCATTCTAGCCTGTGCAGTTACCCAGTGGGGGAAGGTTTCTAAAGCATGACAAAAAACACCCCCTGTCACAGACAGAGTTGAAATACTACTTAGATTTGAAAGCCTCTGAAAAGAAAATACAAATGAAACCCTATTAGTCCATGATTGGGTAACTTTGTTCACAAACTCCGCATTTGCTCCCTCTATCCACACTGATATATCCACTGTCTTTCAATGAAGTTCCTACCCAGTTCTTCTCTTAATGTCCAGAATCCAGGGAGACTTTTCTATAGTATTTAGGTATCAAATCTAATCAATATTTTCTTTTTTATTATAAATTTTTATTAGCTTATCGAAATACATTTTTATTTTATTAACTTTTGTTCTAAGTTCAGGGGTGCAAGTGCAGGTTTGTTACATAGGTAAACTTGTGTCATGGGGGTTTGTTATACAGATTATTTCTTTACAGCAACCAGGTGAGGAGAGGATCAAACCTAATCAATATTTTCTATAAATCTGATGATATAATGAATGATTTTCTTCTCCTTCTTCTCAATACCTGACTTAAGCCTATTGCTTAGATTCTCAAGGGTGATAGGAAGTGGGAAATAAGGGGACCCTCTTGACCTGTTGGTGCCCAGGTCCTTCCTGAAACACCCACATGAATGCTTCAGCCACATGGACCCATATGCAGCTTCTACTTTGCCTCTGAATTTCTTGGAGTTCCAACTGCCCTTTTAAATTATACTGATGAAAAGTGGTAGCTTTTCTGGCACTCCTCGGTACCTCTTCATTTACAAGCTCACCTGATGACTGTAATGTTGTGTTGTCTCTGAGGGAGATTGTATTTTCCAAAGTTGGCTGTAACACTCCCACCCCACATGCTCTTCTCTGACCTTACCCCTCCACCTCTGAGACTCTACCTCTTTGTGGTAGGAGACTGTACCACTCTATGATGGAGCAGTAAGGCCCAGAGAAGAGGATATGGGTGGGGAGTCTAACACCCTTTCACTTGAATTTGAGAGGATTGTGGCTCATATAGAAGCAATAAAAGGATTGTGGCTCATAAAGAAGTAAAAGTGATGCTGTGTAACGTCTAAGGCTGTCATATAATGCGATGCAGCCCCCATATCACAAGCTGGAAGACTCACTTTGGAGCCTTGAGTCACTGTACAAGATGCTCAACTACACTGAGACCACCATAATGGAGAGACCACAGAGAGGCCCTCCAGTTCAACTGCCCAAACGAGCTTCCAGCTGAAAGACAACAAATACCAGCCTTGTGAGTGAGCCATGGTGCATACCCAATCCACTAAGCTTTCGTAATTCTTCAGCCTAAGCCAACATCTGAGTGCAACTACATGAACCCAGGTAATATGAACCCTTTCAAAATTGCTGGCTCACAAAATTATGAGCAAAATAGAAAAATTGCTTTAAGTCACTAATTTTTAAGGTAATTTGTTATATAGCCATAGTAACTAAAATAATCCTGAATGGAGGTAATAACCAGATTTTCCCAGCAAATCTGTTTACCTAGATTAACTCCAATTTGTCTTGTCCTATCTTATAGGAAAAAGCAAACATCCTTAGAACTCTCATCTGAAGATTCCACTGTTTTTTTTTCTTTTGCTCGGAATCAAACTTGTATATGTGAGCAGCCATGGATGCCTGAAGCATGTCTAGCAATCATAAAAATATGTTTGTTAGAATGTAGATTTGACAAGCTAGTAAGAGACATTATTTATCATTTTTTGCAAGTAATTTTTTTTTCCTTTATTGAAAAAACTTTCTGACTCCTTCACTTCAAAAGTGTTGGGCCTGGCTCACGCCTGTAATCCCAGCACTTTGGGAGGCCGAGGCGGGCGGATCACGAGGTCTGGAGATCGAGACCATCCTGGCTAACACGGTGAAACCCCGTCTCTACTAAAAATACAAAAAATTAGCCGGGCGTGGTAGCGGGCGCCTGTAGTCCCAGCTACTCGGGAGGCTGAGGCAGGAGAATGGCGTGAACCCGGGAGGCGGAGCTTGCAGTGAGCCGAGATCGCGCCACTGCACTCCAGCCTGGGCGACAGAGCGAGACTCCGTCTCAAAAAAAAAAAAAAAAAAAAAAAAAAAAGTGTTGGGCCATAGTCCTTGACGCTTAAGTAAGGTAGTCTGGAGACAAACGTTCCTGGGCCGGGCTGAGTCTTAGTACCAACCTTGAGCTTACCAGGAGCTTATTTAGCTACATAAAAGGTCAACAAAGAGAGGCTTTGGGTGTGGAAAAGAAGGAGACTCAGCTGTGGGTCAGGAGAGAAAGATCTCATGAGCCGTCCTCACATCTAATTAAGTGCAGATTGTTGTTTGACATCTGAGAGAGATAAAAAGTAAGAAACATGAGGCATCATGAGAAATAAAAGATTCTACACAATTAATGTCCACCTAAGTACTGAAATCACCATCTCATCTTAACTAAATACAGAGACTAGGACTCTGAAGTAGAAAGTAAGAATTGTGTGTTACTGCTCTTATTAAAATTAAGTACTCAGTGAAATCAGTGAGAATGTGGCCTAGGGCATGCACAGATCACAGCAGCAAACCCAATCACATTTCTGATTAGCCCACAGAGAAAGAATAGTTCTATAAAAAAATAAACAGAGGTATGCCAGTGTAAGCGGACTTACATTTTAAATTCAAAGCATTTGAAAATTGTGTTTCTCTGTGGGGTGGGGAAGGTAGGCAAGTTTATTACCACTGAATGTTCTTAATTGTGAAGAAGTAGAACAAGATCATTTAGGAAAGCAACCAGAAATCGTCGAAATAATACGTGTTATAAAAACCTTTTCTTTAAATCCCATTGAAATAAGTATAAAATCTTCTGAAGCAAAAAGAAAAATCCTCAACTTCCTGAATATGCGATGACAATTAACACAAATATTTAAATATTACTTTCCAAATAGTATTCCTGTTGTTGGCAAGTGGTTTTCAGATGGCATCTTCACCTGAGGCGTTCCTGAATTACAATTATATTGAGAATGCTCTATTACCAACTGTCCTGAGACTCTATTTAAAATATAAAAATTTTGACCTCCTTGATTAAATTTATTCATAAGTATTTTTATGTGATTGTAAATTAAATTGTTTTCTTGATTTTTTTTCGTGGATAGTTTGTTGTTAGGGTGTAAAAATGCTGCTGATTTTTATGTTGGTTTTATAACCTACAACTTTATTGAATTTATCACTTCTAACAGCTTTTTGGTGGAGTCTTTAGGGTTTCTATATATAAGATCGTGTCACCAGTAAACTTCATCCTTCCATATGTGGGTACCTGTTATTTATTTATTTATTTTTATTTTTTTTCCCTAACTGCTCTGGCTAGGACTTCCTGTACTATGTTGAATAGAGGTAGTAAGAGTGGGCATCCCTGTCCTGCTCCTAATCTTAAAGGTAAAGCTTTCAACTTTTCATTGTTTGGTGTAATGTTGTCTGTAGGGTAGTCATATATGGCCTTTATTGTATTGAGTTATATAGTTCCTATACCTTGTTTTTAGTGTTTAACATAAACAAATGTTGAATTTTTTCAAATTCATTTTCTGTGTCTATTGAGATGATCAAGTGATTTTCATCCTTTATTTTGTTAATATCACATTATTTGATTCAACGTATCACATTTATTGATTTATGTTAAAACATCCCTGCATCCCTGGGATAATTCCCACCTGATCATGATGTACGACCTTTTTAATGCACTGTTGAGTTTTGTTTGCTAGTATTTTGTTGAGGATTTTTGTTTCTGTGTTTATTAGAGATATTGGTCTGTAGTTTTCTTTTTTTTGAGATGGAGTTTTGCTCTTGTCACCCAGGCTGGAGTGCAATGGCATGATCTCAGCTCACTGCAACTTCTGCCTCCCGGGTTCAAGCTATTCTCCTGACTCAGCCTCCTGAGTAGCTGGGATTACAGGTGCCCGCCACCATGCCCAGCTAATTTTTGTATTTTTAGTAGAGATGGGGTTTCACCATGTTGGCCAGGCTGGTCTCGAACTCCTGACCTCAAGAGATCCACCACCCTCGGCTTCCCACAGTGTTGGGATTACAGGCGTGAGGCATCGCGACTGGCCTATAGTTTTTTCTTTCAATGTTTTTGTCTTGCTTTACTATTAAGGGTAATGTTTACTTAGTAAACCTAGTTTGGTAAGTATTCCTTCAACTATAAAACATTGATGAAATAAATTGAAAAAGTCACAAATAAATGAAAAAGACACATCATTTTCATGAATTGAAAGAATTAATATTGTTAAAGTGTTCATGCTATCCAAAGTGGTCCACAGATTCAATGCAAATTTATCAAAATTTCAATGTCATTTTTCACCGAAATAGAAAAAAAATTCCAAAATTTGTAAGGAACCAGAAAGGACCCTTAATAGCCAAAGAAACCTTGAGCAAAAATAACAAATCTGGAGACACCGCACTTTCTGATTTCAAAATATATTATAAAGCTTTTGTAATCACAACAGGGGCATAAAAATGGACACATGAACCAATGGAACAGGTCAGAAAGCTCAGACATAACTTAAATATTTATGGTCAGTTAATTTTCCACCAAAGTGTCGAGAATGTACAATGGAGAAAGGACAGTCTCTTCAATAAATGATTTTGGAAAAACTGGATATCTACATGCAGAAGATTGAAATTGGACTTTTATCTTACATCATACACAAAAAATCAACTCAAAATGGATAAAAGACTTAAACATAAGACATGAACCTGTAAAGCTGCTACAGGAAAACCTAGAGGGAAAACTCCATGATATTGGTCTGGGCAACAATTTTTTGGATAGGATTCCAAAAACACAAGCAACAAAAGCAAAAATAGACAAATGAGATTATAGTAAACTAAAAAGCTTCTGGACACCAAAAAAAAAAAAAAAAAACAGAGTAAAGAGACAACCTATAGATTGAGAGAAAATATTTGCAGACCACGCATCTGGTAAGGAAGGGGCAAATATCTAAAAATATATAAACAACACAAACAACTCAATAGCAAGAAAACAAATAACCCCATTTAAAAAATGGGCAAAGAATCTGAACAGACATTGCTCAAAAAATTAATAGTTAAATGATATGTGAAAAAAATGCTCAATATCTCTAATCATTAGTTAAATGCATATTTAACTAATAGGCACAAAGAGATAGCAACTCATACTTGTTAGAATGGCTACTATCAAAAAGATGATTAACGAGTGTCAGCAAGGATGTGGAGAAAAGGGAACACTTGTATATTCTTTGTAAGAATTTAAATTAACGTAGTCATTTAAAAAAATATTCCTCAAAAAACTAAAAACAAAATTACCATATGATCCAGCCATATCACTTCTGGAATTGAAATTTGCATGTTGAAGAGATATCTGTTCTCTCATGTTTATTTAAGCATTATTGTAATAGCCAAGTTATGGAAACAACTTAAATGTTCATCAGTGAATGAATGGATAAAGAAAATGTGCTGTATACACAATGAAATAACATACATTTTTAAACAGAAGGAAATTCTGTCTTTTAAAACAAGATGAATGGAACTGGTGGAAATAATGCTAAGTGAAATAAGACAGGCACAGAAAGGCAAATACTGTATGATTTTACTTACATGTAAATTCTTAAAAAAAAAAAGAAATAGAAAACACGAGTAGAAAGATAATTACCAGCAACTGGTGGGGAGGGGAGGAGTAAGGGCAGGGATAATGTTGATCAAAAGGTACAAAGTTTCAATCAGACTGGAGGAATAAGTTCTAGTGAGCTCTTTCATTTCATCGTAACTACAGTTAATAATAATGTTTATTTCATAATTGCTAAAATAGATTTTTAACTTTCTCACCACACATATGTAAGATAAATTGCTGAGGTGAAAGATGTTTATTAACCTGATTGAATCTTTCTATTACTTACATATAGATCAAAACATCACACTGTACCCAATAAGTATGCATAATTCTGATTTTTCCATTAAAATAAACCATTTTTAATATAAAAATGTGATGAATTCTATATATTAGCCTTAAGAATATTTTGGAAGATGTAAGAGTAGAACTGAAAATAGATAATAAGAAGTCAGTTTTGCCCGAACATATTTTTGAGATGTTAGCCATTTTTTTCTTTCCTACAGAAAATTAATTCACTTTTTCTCCCTTGCTCATTCAAGCTAATAGACTGTGTTCATTGCCTGGGAAAACAAATGTAAAGGGATGTTAAATTTGGAGTGGGTTAGGGTCAGAGGGTCTTGGGTTTGGTTTGCAATAGCACAAGTCCTAAAGGTGATGCAGAGGTCTCTGCATAAGCATTATATTTGGGAGAAATGTGATAGGAGACTGCGGTCTTCTACCAAAACTCATGGACCAAGTTGAGTGATGGAGAGGAATGAAAGTAATGTAATGAAGGCAGAGGAGTTGGTGGATCTCAGAAGGAGAAGTAGTAACTGAAAGGACGCACTTCCGCTGCCTGGGTGATTCCCCATTCCATTACTCTCTATTTCACCCTGACAGTCCATTGTTGCCAGCTCTTGGCTCTGATCTGAGATGTCTTCCTTTCCCATATAAAATGGCCTCTCTTTGCAGTTAAATAGGATTTTAGACTTCTTGCTACCTGTAGAAAGTTGAGAGCCCAGGAAGCTTTCTGAAATTTGAACAATCACAATTCCTTTTAGTTCAAACTGTCAGTGCTCTATTGATTACAACTACTTTAACGACTTTGCAGGTGTCCTAGGTATCTGACTTGAATCTACTACATTCAGCAAAACCCATATCCACAACTCGTCTTGAGACAGGCTTCTCTCCTCTTTGGCATATCAGGGTACTACAGGACAACACTTAAATTTTTGGATGCTCTTTGGTAGAACTGAGAAAATCACCAAGCACTACCTTATCTTTGTTGGGACTTAACAAAGGATCTTAAAATAATTCATTTTGATCTTTCCATTGAGATAACTTCTCACCTGGATAATATTTTGCTGCCTGGAAAACCTCAAAATCCAAAACAGTTTTATTTTCAAAACCAACAAGAACTAACTCTTCTCTGATTTCCTCTATATTCTTGCAAACAGAGTAGTTTTCTTCTTAGCACATTTCTCTCATCACATTACATTTTACGTAGCTGAAATAAGCCAATTACACTTTTAGCACTCTGTCTTACAGAGAGTACATAGCTAAATTATATTAGGTACATTTTCTATCTTCTAATTACCAAAATCAATCATTTTGCCAGTTTATATGCTGCTACAGAGCATATATCATGTTATTTTATCCTGCTATAGCAATTTTTTGTAATTTTTTTTCAGTATCCACTAAGTGTATTCACATTTTTTCCAGTTTTTACTACCTGGCTTTATTTCACTTTGTTTAGCCTGTACCTATCACCCAATCTTGAAAACAATGTTAAATATTTTATGTTTCTATTATGGCAGACCTCCCACTCCTAGGAGCCCACTTTTAAAAGTTAGCTTTGGTTGCAAAACAAACTACACTGAAATTTGGTGACTTAAAGCACTATATAATTTATATTGTTGAATTGTTTGTACTACTGAAAGCAATCTACAAATTTAATGCAATCCCTATCAAAATCCCAGTGGCTTTTTTTACAGAAAATTTTTTTAATCCTAAAATTCATATAGAACCACAGAAGACCTTAAATAGTCAAAACAATCTTGGACAAAAACTACAAAGCTGGAGGCGTTATACTTTCTAATTTCAAAATATATTACAAAGCTAGAGTAATCAATGTAAGTATGATGCTTGTATAAAAACTGATACATAGACCAATGTAACAGAATAGAGAGACCAGAAATAAACCTACACATATATGGTAAACTCATATTTAGCAAGGGTGCCAAGAATACACAATGGGCAAGAGATGGTCTATTCAATAAATGTAATCAGGAGACTGGATATTCACATGCAAAAAAATGGAATTGAACCCTTATCTTATATACAAAAATCAAACTAAAGTGTATTGAAGATTTAAAATCTTAAACCATAAAACTTCCAAAAGAAAACAGGAGAAATCTGTCTTGGCAAGCAATGATTCACAATTATTTCTTGAATACGACACCAAAAGCACAGCAACAAAAGCAAAAATAAGTGGTATCACATTGCACTAAGAAACCTCATAACTGCAATGAAATACAATCAACAAAATGAAAAGGTGAACTATGAAATAAGTGAAAGTATTTGCAAACCTTATGTATCTGAGTTCCTATATTTCTCAAATATTAGCTCTTTAACTTCTACAATTCAAGAGCAAATAATAATTTATTTATTTATTTATTTAAATAAGTCAGTTTAGAATGGAAAAAAACTGAATAGATATTTCTACACTGAAGACATACAAATAATCAACAGGTTTATATGAAAAGAGGCTCTCCACCACTAATCATTAGGGAAATGCAAATCAAACCCACAATGAATATCACCTCATTTCTATTAGGATGACTATTATTAAAAAGACAAAAAAACGGCAGTTGTTGACAAGGCTCTGGAGCACAATGAACCCTTTTACACTGTTGGTGGAAATGTAAATTGGTACAGCCATTATGAAATGCAGTATTGAGATTTCTAAAAAAAATAAAAATAGAACTAGTATACCACCCAACAGTCCCACTTTAGGGTATGTATCTAAGGGAATTGATATTAGAATCTGGAAGGGATGTCTGCACTATCTGGTCCATTGCAGCATTATTCATATCAGTCAATGCATGAAGCAATGTAAATGTTCATCAATAGATGAAAGAATAAAGAAAATGCTGTATATACCTAAAAATGGAATATTATTCGGCTATAAGAAAAGAAATTCTGCCACTTACAACAATGAAACTGGGGGACAACATACTAAGAAAAAGAAGTCAAACACAGAAGAACAAATACTGCATGATGCCACTTATATAAGGAATCTAAAATAGTCAAACTAATAGAAACAGATGAATAAAATGGTGCTTGCAAGGGATGGGAGGAAGGGCAAATGGAAAGATATTAGTTAAACAGTATAGACTTTCAATTATGTAAGATAAAATTCTAGAGATTTACAGTATAGCATAGTGCCTATGCTCATTTTCATTTCTTCAGTGCCTATAGTTAACAACACTGTATTGTAAACTTAAAAATTTGCTAGGCAGGCATATCTTACATTAAATATTATTACAAATAATACTAATTAATTATATAACATTTAATAAAGAGGGCAGGAGGAATAATAAGACAGCAGGCAGAATCTTTTGGAAGTGATTGATATTATAACATGTTTTTTCTTCATGTATTTTTGGACTCTGCTGTTAGTTGTCTACATGCCAATAATTGTCATATTGCCTTGATAAATTTTCCCTTTATTATTATAAAATGTCATTTTTTTGTCTCTAGCATCAAGTTTTATCTTTTTGGCTTTTTGTGAAAGTCCATTTTGCCTAACTTTAATACAATTAAGCTGACGATCTTTTGATTATTGCTTGTATAATATATATCTTTTTTCCTCCTTTTGCCTTTAACATATTTGTGGTTTTGTATGTAAATTATGTAACTTGTAGTCAGCACGTATTTGTATCATATTGTTTGACTTTTTTAAATCAATTATATCTCTGTCTTTTTCCTGGAGTTCTTTAATTTATTTATATTTAATGTAATTATTTATAATGTAAGATTTACCTCTTCTATTTTGATATTTGCTTTCTATATGTCTTACAGCTTTTCTCCCCATGCTTCCTCTACTATAGACTTTTTTTGTTAAATAGTTATTTTCTAGTGCATTAATTTCATTGTTTCTTTTACCATTTTTTGAATTATGTTTATAGTGGTTGCCCTGGAGATTACAATGTATATCATAATTTATAACAATCTGCTTTGTGTCAATACTAATTTAAGCTTAATAATTAACAAAATCTTTTCTCCTACTTGGCTCATTCCTTCTCCCTCCTTTGTGCTTTTATCACTATACAAATTGTGTCTTTATAAATTATATGTCAATCAGCATGGATATATAATTATTGCTTTATGAACTTGTCTTTTTGTCAGATAGGGGAAAAAATAGTTATAAACATGAAAATCACTTACTTTTTCTTTTATATTTACCTACTAGTCACCTTTGGCATTTTTGAAGGAAGATCTACTATTGACAAATTCTCTATTTTTTTTTTTAAATCTGTGAATGTTTTAATTTTTCATTATTGAAGATTAGTTTTGCTGGGTATAAATTTTTGGTTGTCAATCTTTTACTTTCAGCACTTTGAATGTGCCATTCTGCTTCTCTCTGGCTTTGTATTTATAAATATATATTTATTATGATAATTAATCAGCTGTTAATATAGCTGATGCTCTCTTGTACGCATTGTGTAGCTTCTCCCTTGCTACTCAAGACTTTCTTTTTCCTTATTTTTTTAACAGTTTAATTATGATATGTCTAGGTGTGGATTTGTTTCAGTTTATCTTACTGGAATTAATTGAGCTTCTTAAATATGTATGTAATGGTTAATACTGAGTGTCAACTTGATTGGATTGAAGGATACAAAGTATTTATCATGAGTATGTCTGTGTGGGTGTTGCCAAAAGAGGTTAACATTTGAATCAGTGGGCTGGAGAAGGCAGATCCACGCTTAATCTGGTGGGCACAATATAATCAGCTTCCAGCAAATCAGGCAGAAAAATGTAAAAAGGAGAGACAGGCCTAGCCTCCCAGTCTACATCTTTCTTCAATGCTGGATTCTTCCTGCCCTTGAACATCAGACTCCAAGTCCTTCAGCTTTAAAACTTGGACTGGCTCTCCTTGCTGCTCAGCTTGCAGACAGCCTATTGTGGGACCTTGTAATCTTGTGTAAGTTAATACTTAATAAACTCTTATAAAATAAAACTTATAAACTCATATATATCTTTGAGATATATACATATATCTCACATATATATATCCTATTAGTTCTGTCCTAAGAGAACCCTGACTAACACAATGTAGGGTTTATGTTTTGCATTGAATTTAGGAAGTTTGTAGCCATTATATCTGTAAACACTCTTTCAGCCTATTTCTTCCTCTTCTCTTCTTCCGGGACTCCCACCATGCAGATGTTGGTATGCTTGATGATGTACCATATATCTCTGAGGCTATGTTCCTTCTTCTTTATTATTTTTACTTTCTGTTTTAGATAGGATTTTTTAACTGACTTAACTTTAAGTTAAAATTCTTTCTGCCTGATTCAAACTTCTCTTGAGTCACCCTACTGAATGTTTTACTTTTAGTTTTTGTGCTTTTCAACTCAAGAATTTCTATTTTTTTTAAATAATTTCTATTTTTGTATTGGTAATTTATGTTTGATGGGACTTTATTATTTTATGTTTCATTTGTGTTTTAGACATGGTTTTGGTTAGTTTGCTGAACATGCTTAAAATACCTGATTTAAAATTATTTTCTTCTAAGACAACATTTCCCTTTCTCTAAGAGACTTTCTATTAAAGGCTTTTCCCCCTACATAGAGACCATATATTCTTTTTGGGGATGTCTCATAATTTTTTGTTGAAAACTGGACATTTTATATAATACAGTATTACAATTCTGGAAATCACTTCTCCTCACTCCCAAGAATTGTTGTTGATTATTTATTTAGTAATTTTCTGAACTTATTCTTTAAATATTGTAGTCTTTGTTGGGTGTGGTGACTGAAGTCTTTGCTTGGTTAGCTTAATGGTCCACTAATGATTGAACAGATATATTTTTTTTAAATCCCTGATACCAGTTAAGTCTCCCAGTCTTTGCAGTAGTCTCTGTGCAAATGTTAGGAGATGCCTTCAACTCTCTTCTATGCAGCTGACAAGTCCGCTTTAGCCTTACTTCCTATTTATGCAGAGCCTCACTGCTAACCAAAAGTAAAAGCTTGGGACCTTCTAAGGTCTTTTGTGAACATGTACACAGCCCTGGGCATGTGTGCATCCCTATGTATGTGTGTAACCTTCTATATTCCCAGGAATATCTCAGAACTTTTTAAAGCCCTTCTGTTCCTCAGATTTTCCTTTCAAGTGTACTGGTCAACCTATTGTTTTTCCTAGTTGTACTACATAGCCTTAAGCTGCCATACATTTAAAGGATTGCCTCTAAATATTCTTAGAAAATGCCGTGAAGGAAAGAAATTTTCACCCTGGGTGAGCTACTGTCAAGAGAAATAAAGACAGTCTTATAAGAAGGGGCTGCCTAAGGGGAACCATCAGAAAAGTCAAATAATGACAGTTCTCTGGGAATGAGCCTTTGAAAGAACTCCATTCTGCTCTCTTTGGTGGCTGCTAGGCAACAGATTTACAGTGTCAGTGTAGGCTGTTGGTTTTCAAGTCTACCATCGAACTGGAGAGAGAAACTGGAACAGGGCAAGTTAAAAATGTCACAAAACTCATTGCTGTTACTGAGATTCAATAATTTCACTTGAATACATGCTCTCCAGATTGATTTAAAAACTTTCCAGAGTTTTAAAAAATTATTCTAGCTAATTTTGTCGGCTTTTTTTGTTATTGATTTTTTACAAAGGAGAGAATTTTCAGAGGTTCTTATTCCACCATTTTTACAAGTCAACTCTTTTTATTTTGTCCTAGTCTACAATGAATCATGTGGTCTCATCTCTGCTTCTTCATCCCCTACTGGCCTTTCCTGGCTCACTTTTCACCAGATATGGTGGTCTACATGTACATCAAAGCTTCCATGCTCATACCAAAATTTGGGTTTTTGCCCTTGATCTACCTAATATTTGAAAAACTGTCCCTCCACGTCTTTACTTGTCTTCCTACCCTCACCTTCAATGCTATCTTCTCAGCAAGACTATCTTGTCTGAAGTAGATCTTTTCCTGTCCTAATTTTCTATCACAGAACCTTTTAAATTTTTTCATTGCATTTTTCCAAAAATACAACAATTTATTTGTTTGGCTATTTAGTTTTTGTCTCCCACTTTACAGTGGAAAGGGAGGAGCCACATCTATTTAGTTCCCCAGGTTATTCAAAGTAACTAGCATGATACCTTGCACATACAATTTTAATAAGTATTAAGTAAATAAATTTGATATAAAACTGAAATAAAAGTGAAAATAAACTATTAAGATTACACAGGACATTAAGGAATCATTAAGAAATATAAATTTAATACTAAAAGGCCATATTAATTGATATGGTAAACAGAAATGCAACAAGAGAAGAAATACTAATAGTAGGTGAACAGTTGACTAAATATCTAATTTTAGATGTATTAAAACACATTTTAAAAACCAGAAATGTAACGCTATTATAGCCATACTATGTTAGCTAAAATTGGAAATAACAATAATAAGTACTTGAAAGTTTTTCATAAAACTGATTTGTTCTACAGGGTAGCTGTCATCATGAATTGCCACAATATTAATGGGTAGCAAATTGGCAGTTTATGTCCAGACAATAAAATATATTAGAGTCTTTAACACAGTAGTACCACTTCTGAGAATCTAAGGAGGTAATCCAAAATACAGAAAAATGTATTTTTTAAAGTTCATTACAAAATAGTGATGACAAATTTGAGAAAATTAAATGTCCAACATATGGGAATAATTAACTACAGCATATTGCTTCAATAATATTTTGTGCAGTTATTAAAAATAATTTTAAAATTGTATAACAGATTAAGTAAAAATACAGAAAAAAAATTTCGTGGGCATTATGACTACAATTTTAATAAACTACATATGCATTTAGATAAGAAATATATTACAAAAAATAATATAAAGTAATATGAATACTTAAAATCTTTTTGTTGCTATAAAATTATTTTCCCAGTTAATAAAGTATGTAGAGAAAAATAAGAGCACAGACTTATATCGTGAAACTGAAATTTATTGTAATTGTACTTGTTTCTCTTTTTTGTTATCTCTTCTGAACATTTTCCATGAAAATGTGATATTTGTTTTTAGCAATGAAAGAAAGTAGTTTTTCACCTAAAATGATTTCTGTATAAAATTCTATAAAAGACTCAATAAACATTTTTAAAACAAAATAATGACAACAGTCATTGTTATGGTTATGGTAAAACTAAAACTAGTTTTCCCCTAAATCACATACATTTATTTTTAAAATAAAATTTTCAAGGTATACAAATGTGTATCAAACATCATAACTATTTTTTCATGAAAAAGGACATGCCTTCTTTGTTGTTAAACATAGCAGTTTATAACATTCTATAGTCATTAATTGTTTTTTAAATTATTCACCACAGAGCTGTTAAGAATTACATAGATTTTTTCTTGGAGGTTGTCAAAAGTGAGGGCTAGCAGACTCAGTGGTACTTGAACCCTTGTCTCGGAACTTCTCCCTTAATTTTATTTTAAACAGTCATTCCTGAAGTCAAAAATCAACTGAAAGTCACTGGTTTGGACACATGGCACTAAACCCACCTATGGCTGTCATTAGCCCAGTATGACATTAGGAGAACCCGGGACATAGGACCTAGAAACGTAAACAGAAGTGGGAGAGACGGAGGCTGAAGAGAAAGTCCTGGGCAGTTCTTCGGGAAGGTCAGATCCTCTGGAGGATATGGTGTGTTTGGTAACAGGTACATACATAAAGGGCAAGCACAGATGCTCACACAGTTGCTGATCCTAAAGCACCAGGGCTTTGGCTGTTTCATCTGATTCTTGGTAAGTAGCAACCTCCTATACACCCTCCCTCAGGAATTCTGAAACAGAAAAGAGAAAAGAATGGAGAAGAAATAAGACAGAGAGAAAGAGAGGGCTGAGAGGCACTCCTAGAGACAGAGTTGTGAGAGGAAGAGTCTAAGAGAATGCCAAGGAGGAAGAGAAAAAAAATTAGTATTTTCAATGTTTTTTCATAGTTGCAGCTATCAAGAAGTTTTGCCCTCAGTGAGTTGGTGAGGGTGCTATGTGCTCTATGTCATTTCATTTATCACCAATAACAGTGTGTATGGCAAGAAGTGAATGTGCAGTGGCCTGCCTATGTCCAAGTCAATAGAAGAAACAAACTTTTGTCTGTAGCTTTTATGTCCTTAATGAAACTTTAATCTCTTGGAAACCACCTGCACATTACATAGAAACTACCATTTCCCGCCAGTGCATATGGTCCTGTGTAACTCTTTTCTGTCCTCTAAGCACATGTAGTCCCATCAACACTAAAATTTGGTCCTAAAATTCCACTGAATGATTAAGACTTTTAACACATGTATATATCAGAATGGCTCCTTCCCTTAAGGCTATATTCTTGGGCTTTAACATCTAGTGGTGCTCTGTTTACTTGGAGGTGAGCAGATTCAGTGTGAACCTCCAGCATTAGTGCTCCTCACCAGCCTCACGTTCCACCATGACTGTCCAGGCTTCTCATCTTCCACTCCTTGGGTTCTTCACACCTGGCTCTAACCTCATGATCTTCCTCTGGAATCTGGAGCCCAGCCTTGAACATTAGCAAACTATCACAAGTTTCTTGGAAGAAGAACCTCCTTATTGTTTATTATGCCATAATTGGACAGATCTTAACTTATTTCTTACCTAACTATTCATTGAAAGTGAACACTGTTTCACCTGGGCTCTGTAACTGACTGTAGGTTAAACGTTCTTCACCACTCTGCTCAACTCCCATTAGATATGTAGTTGCCACTCTTCCTTTGGGCTTGATGCTAGTCTTTTGGCCTTTCTCAGTAGTCTAATTCTCTAAGATCAGACAAGTCTTAGCTGACCCCAGAAGCTTACATTTTTATATCAGGCCAGCAATTATATGACAGGTAATCAAATAAAGTAACAGGAGGGGGAAAAAAAAGCCCAGTGGAAGATATATTTAACCAATAAGCGAATCTGGCATTCCCACCAGATAGGAGAAAGAGAAAGAGAACTCAGAGGTCATCTCAAGCTAGCATTTCAGGTGAGAACAAAAGTGCCAATAAAATTGGAAATAAAGTGTCTATGCCACTCCAGTGTAGAGTGTCAACACTGAGTGTACACTGGAGATTGTATTGACTGGCTGTTCTGTAGAAGGATGATAAAGGTAGGACTTCAATAAACTGAATAACTTAGAACAAGGAAGTTTAATAATAAGACCTTAATAAGAACAATGTGGAAGGCTTGACACGGTGGTTCATGCATGTAATCCCAGCACTTTGGGGGGCCAAAGAGGGAGGGTCACGTGAGCCTCAGGAGTTTGAGACCAGCCTGGGCAACATGGCAAAACCCCATTTCTGCAAAAAAAAAAAAAAAATACAAAAATATTAGCCAGGTGTTGTGGTGCACGTCTGCAGTCCCAGCTACTCAGGAGGCTGAGATGGGAGGATCGCTTGAATCCACGAGGTCAAGGCTACAGTGAGCGGAGGTCACACTACTACACTCCAGCCTGGGTGACAGAATGAGACCCTGTCTCAAACAAAACAAAACAAAATGTGGTTACCATGATTATTTATAGGACAGAGAAAAAAATGGTCACTATTACTATAATAGTCAGGTAGAACTATACAATAATTGAGGTAATAGAATACTGTGAGGTACTTTCGCATCATGTAACCATGGGCCATTTTCCTGTATATTCTCTCAGTGTAAAGAAGATACTGAAATGAGCCAAAATGTGGGGGGAAAAGTAAATGATAGAATACACACTGGAGCCATAATTTGATCCAGAACACTTCTAGTGACAGTTTCCAAAACTTACTTGGAAGCATAAGTAACTACAGTAAACTTAAGACAATCTTCTAACAAACTTTAAAAAAATAGAATAGTTATAGATTAAAGAAAAAATATGAAGATAATACAGAGTTTCCATATACCTTAATTTTCTGAGATTTTGCCTAGTGTCCCTTTTGGTTACAGGATCTCATTCTGGTTACCACATTACATTGAGTTGTTATGCCTCCTCAGGCTCCTCTTGGCTCTGACATTTTCTCAGAATTTCTTCATTTTTGGTGACCTTGACAGTTTTGAGGAGTAGTATTCAGGTATTTTGTAGAATGCTGCTCAGATGGAGTTTGTGTGATGTTTCCCTCATGAATAACCTGACTTACGTATTTTGGGGAGGGAGACCACAGAGGTGAAATGCCATTCTCATCAGATCATATCAAGGGATGAAGAATACATACTATGGCCAAAGCTAATCGCTGTTGATGTTTATATTGATAACATGGCTGAAGTAGTGTTTTACAGGTTTCTCCACAGGACAGTTACTCTCCTTCATTCTTTCCACACCGCATTGTTTGGGAGGAAGTCACTGTGCAAAGCGCAATCTTTATGTTCTACCTCCTTTAAGGTGGAGTACAACAACAGGGAAACATTCTGAGAAATGCATTATTAGGCCGTATCTCCACTGTGCACACTTCATAGGCTGTACTTACACAAACATAGGTGGTATAGCCTACTATAAACCTAGGATACATGGTATACCTATTGCTCGTAAGCTACAAATCTGGACAGCATGTTACTGTACTGAGTACTATAGGTGATTACAAAATAGTGATAAGTATTGGTGTATCTCAAGATTTATAAACATAGAAAAGACACAGTAAAAATACAGTATTATGATCTTATGAGACCACTTGTCATATTTGTGGTATGTTGTTGACCAAAGTGTCATTATGTGCCACATGACTGTATATTAAATAATCTCCCCTATCATCTATGGAATCATAGATGTTTAGTTTACACTTTGGAATGTAATCCAATACTACTTTATTTTCTTGCTCAAATTGTTACATACAGCACTGACGATTGGGAACTCTTTCAGTTGGCTTCTGTGTCTGTTCAACACACCACCATCATTGTGGGGTTTCCTGTTTGTTTGTTTGTTCTTAGCATTCTTATTTTCTGACACCATAAGATGCTCCAGGCTCATTTTGTGTGTTTCCTATTCCAGTCATTGAATCAGACATTTCTCTAAGAACCCTTGCTCCTTTTCATTGAACAATAATATTAAAAAACAAGATCTAAGCCCTAGGTTACACTTGTTACTGATGGAGTATCATGTCTTTTTGTCCCCCTCAGCTGGTAGAACAAGGAAATACAGTCATCCCTCAGTTTCCATGGCCGGAATTGGTCCCAGGACCTCCCGCAGATACCAATATCTACAGATGCTTAAGACTATAATATAAAATGGTATAGTTTTGGTATATAACTTATGCACATTCTTCTATATATTTTAAGTAATCTGTATATTACTTATAATACCTAATACAATGCCTACATATCACTTTATTTGTGTGGATTCAGTATGGCACTTGGAGTGCGGCAAATCCAAGTTTTGCTCTTTGGAACATCATGGATTTTTTTTTCTTCCAAATATTTTTGGTGCACAGTTGATTGAATCCATGGATGCTAATCCATAATTTTTCTATATGAAGCCACATGTATCAATATTAGGCCACACATCATGCTGATATTTCCAACTCAGATCCATTACTATGTAGATCATTCCAGACTTCTCCCATTGCTTATCTGTAACCTTCCCCTCCAACAGTAAAAAAACTGATTTCCACCATCTGCCATCCAGTTATTTAATTGTTCTATTCCAGTATATGCGTGGAACAGTTTCATATTTGTTAAGCTGTACCACTGTAGGGAAAATAATTTTTTTCAACTAGAATACAATGCTCATGTAGAGGTCCTTTTTCCTTTAGTCTTCTGGGATTCACTCCTTTTCAAAGCTACTTATGTCAAGAACTTTTCCCCATTCCCTACAGTGAAGTTGTTTTATCTATTTGTAATAAAGTGAGATTCTTGGCCAGGTGTGGTGGCTCATGCCAGTAATCCCAACATTTTGGGAGGCTAAGGTGGGTGGATCACTAAGGTCAAGAGTTTGAGACCAGCCTGGCCAACATGGTGAAACCCTACCTCTACTAAAAATACAAAAATTGTCCAAGCATGGTGGCACGTGCCTGTAATCCCAGCTACTCGCTTGGCTGAGACAAGAGAATCACTTGAACCTGGGAGGCAGAGGTTGTAGTGAGCCAAGTTCATGCCACTACACTCCAGCCTAGGAGACAGAGTGAGACTCCGTCTCAAAAATAAATAAATAAATAAAGTGAGATTCTTTATCACAGTCTGAATTCTTTTGAACTCCTAAATAATTTCATATAAAGTGTGCATACCTTAAAGATCATTATTTTTCTATAAAGTTCTGTGGGTTTTGACAAATGCATAGAGTCATGGATCCACCTTTGTGGTATCTTCAGAAGAGTCTCACCATCCTTTTAATTCCCCTGTGCTTCATCCCTGCATCAGTAGCAGCCACCGATTGGTTTACTATCTCTAGAATTTTGCCTTTGCTAGAATGTCATTATTAATGGACAGTTTTGGCCTTTTCAGACTTTCTTCTTTTTCTCAGTAATAGGAATTAAAGATTCATCCATGTTTTGCATGGCTTAATAGCTCATTATTTTTCTATCACTAAATAGTGTTTTATTATATGGATGTACTACAGTCTGTTCATCCATTCACTTATTAAAGGACATCTTCATTGCTTCCAGTTTTTTGGCAGTCATAAACAAAGCTGCTATAAAACTTTCTATGCAAGTTTTTGTGTGGACACAAGTTTCCCTTTCAAGTAGGTAAATGCCTAGGAGTACTTGCTAGATTATATAGCAAGACTATATTTAGCTTTATGAGAATCTGTCAAATCGTTTTCTAAAATGGCTGTCTCATTTTGTATTCCCAGCATCAATGAATGAGAGTTCCTGTTGTTCAACAACCTCCCCAGCATTTGATATTGTCAGGCTTTTGGTTTTATTTTTAGTCATTTTTAATAGATGTGTAGTGGTAACTTGTTGTTTCAATTTGCAATTCCCAAATGACATATGATATTGATCATATTTTCATCTGCTACTTTGCTATCTGTATATCTTTTTTGATTCCCTGTCTGTTCAGATATTTTATCTATTTTTTAATTGGGGTGTTTGTTTTCATACTAATGTGCTTAAGAGCTCTTTACATATTTTGGGCATAAGTTTTTATAAAATATATTTTGCAAATATTTTCTTTCAGTCTGTGGCATGTCTTTTCATTCTTTTAATAGAGATTTTCACAGAGCAGAAGTTTTGAATTTTAATAAAGTCCAGCTTATCTATATTTTTCTTCAAGGATAATGCTTTTGGTGTTATATTCAAAACTCCGTTGGCAAATCCAAGGTCACCTAGATTTTCTCAGCATATTTTAATAAAGAGTTTTATTAAAATATAATAAATAGCACTAAGGTACACCAATCTTAAGTTTGCAGCTTAATGAATAATTATTACAGAGAGAGCACATTCACTTAACTACAAATTAGCTCAAAATACAGACTACGTCCCAGAGGTCAAATCTGGCCTGCCATCTGTTTTTGTAAGCTTGCCATTTGAGAATATTTTTATATTTTTAAATGATTGGAAAACATGAAAGGAATTCTATATTCCACAAAATTCACATGAAAACTATATGAAATTCATATTCTACTGTTCATAATTAGTTACACTCATTTTAAAATATATTGTCTATGGATACTTTCACATTACAAGAGCAGAGTTGAGTTATTGCAACAGAGATCATATGACCTGTAAAGCCTCAAGTATTTACCATCTTATCCTTTACAGAAAAAGTTGCCAGCCCTTAATATAGGTGCATATAACCAGCATCTCAAAAGCCCTCCTCATGGCCAGTCACATCGCCATACCTCCAAAAATACTATTCTGACTTTCATCACCATAGATTACTTTTTGTGTTTTGTTCACACTTTATATGAGTAGAAGCTTATACATGACTATTAAACATGTATATCATATATGTTTATTAAAATATTTTAAACATGTATATTGTATATGCTCATTAAATGTTTATATTAATTAAATATGTATATCATGTTTATTAAACATGTATATTTATTAAATATGTATGTCGTATATGTTTATTAAACATGTATATAAGTATTTTTTTCTTTAAGGGGAGTGCTTTTGGTGTTATATTTAAAACTGCATTGGCAAACTCAGGGTCACCTAGATTTTTTCCACATTTTTAAATAAGGAATTTTTATCAAATATATATATGATGTATATGTCATATATATATAACATCCATTCCACTGTTGCTGGACATTTAGGTTTTGTCATTTTGGGGCTATTATAATTAATGTTGCTGGGAACAATTTTGTTCATGCCTTATTCATTGTCTACCTGTATGTAGGTATGTATGCATTTCTGCTAGATACATGCCTAGATATGGAATTGCTGGGTCATAATGCATAGAAAAGTTAAGCTTTAGTAGATTTTGTCAAAGAGATTTCTAAAAGATTTTAAGAATTTTATTCCTACCAACACTGCACTAATATGGCCATTACCTCATGTGTTACTAACACATGTACTATAAGTTTTCTTTTTTTTTTTTTTGCTTTCTTTGATGTTTATTAAAACATAGTTGTTTTAATAGGTAATGTAGTAACACAAAAATTATTTTTAATGTGTTTTTTATAGCAAAAGCCTAACATCTCAAAAGAGAAAGATATTTTTATCTGGTTGGAAAATGTTTTCTTTTTTTTAATTTTTTTTTATTTTTTTAGCACCTTATACTTTTTAATATCTTAAACTTTTCAGCATCTGACAGCAAATCTTTTTTTTATTATTATTATACTTTAAGTTTTCAGGTACATGTGCACAATATGCAGGTTAGTTACATATGTATACATGTGCCATGCTGGTGTGCTGCACCCATTAACTCGTCATTTAGCATTAGGTATATATCCTAATGCTATCCCTCCCCCTTCTCCTCAACCCACAACAGTCCCCAGAGTGTGATGTTCCCCTTCCTGTGTCCATGTGTTCTCATTGTTCAATTCCCACCTACGAGTGAGAACATGCGGTGTTTGATTTTTTGTCCTTGCGATAGTTTACTGAGAATGATGATTTCCAGTTTCATCCATGTCCCTACAAAGGACATGAACTCATCATTTTTTATGGCTGCATAGTATTCCATGGTGTATATGTGCCACATTTTCTTAATCAGTCTATCATTGTTGGACATTTGGGTTGGTTCCAAGTCTTTGTTTTTGTGAAGAGTGCCGCAATAAACATACGTGTGCATGTGTCTTTATAGCAGCATGATTTATAGTCCTTTGGGTATATACCCAGTAATGGGATGGCAGGGTCAAATGGTATTTCTAGTTCTAGATCCCTGAGGAATCGCCACACTGACTTCCACAATGGTTGAACTAGTTTACAGTCCCACCAGCAGTGTAAAAGTGTTCCTATTTCTCCACATCCTCTCCAGCACCTGTTGTTTCCTGACTTTTTAATGATTGCCATTCTAACGGGTGTGAGATGGTATCTCATTGTGGTTTTGATTTGCATTTCTCTGATGGCCAGTGACGGTGAGCATTTTTTCATGTGTTTTTTGGCTGCATAAATGTCTTCTTTTGAGAAGTGTCTGTTCATGTCCTTCGCCCACTTTTTGATGGTGTTGTTTGTTTTTTTCTTGCAAATTTGTTTGAGTTCATTGTAGATTCTGGATATTAGCCCTTTGTCAGATAAGTAGGTTGCAAAAATTTTCTCCCATTTTGTAGGTTGCCTGTTCACTCTAATGGTTGTTTCTTTTGCTGTGCAGAAGCTCTTTAGTTTAATTAGATCCCATTTGTCAATTTTGTCTTTTGTTGCCATTGCTTTTGGTGTTTTAGACATGAAGTCTTTGCCCATGCCTATGTCCTGAATGGTAATGCCTAGGTTTTCTTCTAGGGTTTTTATGGTTTCAGGTCTAATGTTTAAGTCTTTAATCCATCTTGAATTAATTTTTGTATAAGGTGTAAGGAAGGGATCCAGTTTCAGCTTTCTATATATGGCTAGCCAGTTTTCCCAGCACTATTTATTAAATAGGGAATCCTTTCCCCATTGCTTGTTTTTGTCAGGTTTGTCAAAGATCAGATAGTTGTAGATATGCGGCATTATTTCTGAGGGCTCTGTTCTGTTCCATTGGTCTATATCTCTGTTTTGGTACCAGTACCATGCTGTTTTGGTTACTGTAGCCTTGTAGTATAGTTTGAAGTCAGGTAGTGTGATGCCTCCAGCTTTGTTCTTTTGGCTTAGGATTGACTTGGCGATGCGGGCTCTTTTTTGGTTCCACATAAACTTTAAAGTAGTTTTTTTCAATTCTGTGAAGAAAGTCATTGGTAGCTTGATGGAGATGGCATTGAATCTATAAATTACCTTGGGCAGTATGGCCATTTTCACGATATTGATTCTTCCTACCCATGAGCATGGAATGTTCTTCCATTTGTTTGTATCCTCTTTTATTTCATTGAGCAGTGGTTTGTAGTTCTCCTTGAAGAGGTCCTTCACGTCCCTTGTAAGTTGGATTCCTAGTTATTTTATTCTCTTTGAAGCAATTGTGAATGGGACTTCACTCATGATTTGGCTCTCTGTTTGTCTGTTATTGGTGTATAAGAATGCTTGTGATTTTTGTACATTGATTTTGTATCCTGAGACATTGCTGAAGTTGCTTATCAGCTTAAGGAGATTTTGGGCTGAGACAATGGGGTTTTCTAGATATACAATCATGTCATCTGCAAACAGGGACAATTTGAGTTCCTCTTTTCGTAATTGAATACCCTTTATTTCCTTCTCTTGCCTAATTGCCCTGGCCAGAACTTCCAACACTATGTTGAATAGAAGTGGTGAGAGAGGGCATCCCTGTCTTGTGCCAGTTTTCAAAGGGAATGTTTCCAGTTTTTGCCCATTCAGTATGATATTGGCTGTGGGTTTGTCATAGATAGCTCTTATTATTTTGAGGTACTGTCTCTCAGACCACAGTGCAATGAAACTAGAACTCAGGATTAAGAAACTCACTCAAAACCGCTCAACTACATGGAAACTGAACAACCTGCTCCTGAATGACTACTGGGTACATAATGAAATGAAGGCAGCAGTAAAGATGTTCTTTGAGACACAACCTACCAGAATCTCTGGGACACATTCAAAGCAGTATATAGAGGGAAATTTATAGCGCTAAATGCCCACAAGAGAAAGCAGGAAAGATCCAAAATTGACACCCTAACATCACAATTAAAAGAACTAGAAAAGCAAGAGCAAACACATTCAAAAGCTAGCAGAAGGCAAGAAATAACTAAAATCAGAGCAGAACTGAAGGAAATAGAGACACAAAAAACCCTTCAAAAAATTAATGAATCCAGGAGCTGGTTTTTTGAAAGGATCAACAAAATTGATAGACCACTAGCAAGACTAATAAAAAAGAAAGGAGAGAAGAATCAAATAGACACAATAAAAAATGATAAAGGGGATATCACCACCGATCCCACAGAAATACAAACTACCATCAGAGAATACTACAAACACCTCTACGCAAATAAACTAGAAAATCTAGAAGGAATGGATAAATTCCTCGACACATACAACCTCCCAAGACTAAACCAGGAAGAAGTTGATTATCTGAATAGACCAATAACAGGCTCTGAAATTGTGGCAATAATCAATAGCTTACCAACCAAAAAGAGTCCAGGACCAGATGGATTCACAGCTGAATTCTACCAGAGGTACAAGGAGGAACTGGTACCATTCTTTCTGAAACTATTCCAATCAATAGAAAAAAGGGAATCCTCCCTAACTCATTTTTTGAAGCCAGCATAATCCTGATACCAAAGCTGGGCAGAGACACAACCAAAAAAGAGAATTTTAGACCAATATCCTTGATGAACATTGATGCAAAAATCCTCAATAAAATACTGGCAAACCGAATCCAGCAGCACACAAAAAAGCTTATCCACCATGATCAAGTGGGCTTCATCCCTGGGACGCAAGGCTGGTTCAATATATGCAAATCAATAAATGTAATCCAGCATATAAACAGAACCAAAGACAAAAACCACATGATTATCTCAATAGATGCAGAAAAGGCCTTTGACAAAATTCAACACCCCTTTATGCTAAAAACTCTCAATAAATTAGATATAAGTTTTCTATTGTAGACCCACAGCTTCCATATATAATATATATATTTACCTATTTATGATGGTGCCTTATGGCATCTCATTGTGGTTTTTAAATTCTTTTTCCCTAATGATTGATGATATTGATCAATTTTCCTGATTCTTATCAGACATTTGAAAGCCTTCTTTTGCAAGATATATAATTATATTTCAAACTACATATATAAAACTACACATATAGTTTGAAATATATATTTAATATATAATTATTAAATATTTGTTATATAATTATAGAATTACATTATATATTATCCATTATTATATATTATATAATAGATATGTAGTTTAAATGTTAATATATATTAATATATGTTTATATATATATATATATATATATATAATTTGAAATGTGTGGGAGATACATGAATTGCAAGCATCTTTTCTGCTCCCAGCCTTTTCACTCAAAGTTTTATGGTGTATTCTAAACATCAGAATTCTTAATTTAAATGAAGTCCACTTTGATTATTTTCTTTATGGTTAGTGCTTTCTAAGTCCTGTTTAAGAAATCCTGTCTTTCCCATTGGTACTGAAGATGTTGTCTATGTTGTTTCTAAAGGCTTTATTTTTTATCTTTCATATGTAGGTATTAATCCATTAGAAATTATTTTTCTGTATGGATGAAGTAATTTTTTTTATTTGGACCTTGATTTGTTTCATCATCTTTTAAGAAATAGAGCACTCTTGTCCCACTGTGTCACAGTAACACCTTTGTCTTGTATCAGGTGTATGAGCCTCTTTATGGATCCTCTACTTTGTCCCCCTTATGCATGTCTCTATCCTTGTTTAACACTACAGTTTTAATTACTGTAGTTTTATAATCATTCTTGCTATCTGCTAATACAGGTGCTCCAACTTTATCCTTTTTCTTCAAAAATTTTTTTGTTATTTTGAGTTCTTATTTTCATGTAAGTTCTAGAATCAACTTATCAATTTCCAGTACAAATGTATGATTTTTATTGGTAATGCTTTTAACCTATAGGTAAGGGTATATTTGGGATAAATGATATCTTAACAATATGAATTTTTTCAGTTCATTTTGTTAGATATAGCCTTCCCTTTGTTGTTTTAATTTCTCTTAGCACTTTCTAGTTTTTATAATGATTTTGTATGTAGTTTGTTTTACTTGTTCCTAGATATTTGATACTTTTGATGCTATCATAATGATATATTTTACATTACTACTTTCTAATACTAAATGTTATTAGTATGAATAAATGTGTTACAGTATAAAATTTACTATATTTGTTGGTATAAACAAATTTTGTTGGTATACAGAAATTTAACTGACTTTGGTTGATATACTTTATGCCCAGTAACCTGGCTGGTCAACTTATGAATTTTAATAATTTACTGATGTACTATTTTGTATTTTTCATATGCACAGAAATAACAGAAGTTGCATTTCTTCTTTTTCAATTCTTATACATTTGGATTTATTATTTTATGTCTATTTTTATCAACCTCCAATAAAATGATGAATACAAGTAATGAAAGCAGACATCCTTAGCATAAAGTTTATATTTATTTTTAAAAAACAACTTTACTGAGGTACAAGTGACATAAAAAACCTGTACATATTTAATACATATGTCTCATTGAGTTTGGAGTTACATATACAGCAGTGTAATCATCACCACCAGGGCCATAAACATTTCTATAACTTACAGAAGTTTCCTCTCAATCCCTTTATTATTATTACTGTTTTTGTGTGTTTGTTTGTTTTTTAGGAAAGAACACAACATAAGATCTAGTCTCACCAAATTTTAAGTATAGAATACAATATTATTACTTATGACATTACGCTGTATAGTAAATTTCCATAATTTATTTATATTGCATAATTGAGATGTTGTAAGCTTTAACCATCCCCTTCCCCTATCCTCCTCCCTCATCCCTTAGCAAGAACTATTCTATTTTGCTACTATGAGTTTTACTACTTTAGATTCTACATGTAAGCAAAATCATACAGTATATGTCTTCCTGTGTTTGGCTTACTTCATTTAGTACAATGTCCTTCAAGTTCATCTATTGTTGCAAATTGCAGGATTTCCTTGTTTTTTTAAGGCTGAATGATATGCCATTGTATGTATATATCACATTTTCCTTATCCACTCATCCATTAATCAACATTTAATTTGCTTCCATTCTCAACTATTGTGAATAATGCTGTAATGAACAAAGAAATGCAGATATTTCTTCTAGATTCTAATTTTAATTCCTTTAACTATATACCCAGAAATGGAACTGTTGGATCACGTGGTAGTTCCATTTTTAATTTGTTTGAAATCTCCATGCTGTTTTCCGTAATGACTGCATTATTTTACATTCCTATTGTAGTATACAAGGATTTTCTTTTCTCCAATTCTCACAGATACTTGCTATCTTTTCGTTGTTATTTATAATAGTAGCCATCACAGCAGACATGGATATTTCACTGTGGTTTTGATTTGCATTTCCCTAATGATTAGTGATGTTGAACCCCTTTTCATATCCCTGTTGACCACTTGTCCATCTTTGAAGAAATGCCTATTCAGTTTTAATGCCCACCTTATAATCAGATTGAGTATTTTTGTTTGTTTTTGCTATTCAATTGCATGAGTTCCTTGTATATTTTGAATATTAAGCCCTTATCAGATAAACGTTTGCAAATATTTTACTCAATTCCTCATAGGTTGCCTTTTTAGTTTTCTTATTGTTTCCTTTGCTGTGAAGATTTTTGATTTGATGCAGACCCACTTGTTTATTTTTTTATTTTGTTGACTGTGCCTTTGATGTCACACCAAAAAAAAAATTATTGCCAAGACCAATGTCAAGGACGTTTTTATCTAAGTTCTCTACTAGAAACTTTACCTTCTCAGGCCTAATGTATAAGTATTTGATTCATTTTGAGTTAATTTTGTGTATGTAGTAAGATAAGGTTTTAATTTCATTCTTTTAAATTGTAGATATGTAGTTTCTCAACTATTTATTGAAGAGATTACCTTTTTTCCATTGTGTATTCTTTGCTCCTTTGTTGAAAATTAGCTGACTTTATATGCATAGATGTGTTTCTGGGATCTCCATTCTGTTTCACTGAACTATGTGTTTGTTTTTATACCAATATTGTTTTAATTACTATAAATTCGTAATATAATTTGAAATCAGGAAATGTAATGTCTAGTTTTGTTTTTCTTGCTCAAAATTGCTTTGGCTATTTGGAATCATTGATGGTTGCATATGAATTTTAGATTATTTTTCTACTTCTATTAAAATGTCATTAGAAAGGGATTGAATTGTATCTATGAATCACTTTTGGTAGTATGGACACATTAACAATATTAATACTTCCAGTCCATGAACATGGAATACCTTTTCATTTATTTGTGTATGATTTAACTTCTTTCATCAATGTTTTGCAGTTTTTCAGTGTACATATATTTCTACTATTTGGTTAAATGTATATCTAAGAAGTATTGCTTGTAAAGCTATTGTAAAAGGGATTGTTTTCTTAATTTTTTAGGTAGTTCATTGCTAATGCATAGAAAGGAAACATATTTTTTAAATGCTAATTTTCTTTCCTGCAGATTTAAACAGTTTGTTTATTCATTCTAAGAGTTTTTTGGTAGAGTACTTAGGATTTTCTATATGGATATAATTTGAACATAATGTGGTTTATTTATAGACCACCTAAATAAATTGAATATCACAGTAAAGTGAGGCACACAAATATTTTTGTTTCCTAGTGCACAAAAATTTGCATAAATATTATACTGTAGTCTGTTAAGTGTGCAATAGCATCATGCCTATAAAACAATATATATACCTTAATTTAAAAATACTTTACTGCTAAAAACTCCTAACAATTTTAGCAAGTTTTATAATAATTTTACTGGTAGAAGGTCTTGCTCAATGTTGATGGCTGCTGATTGATCAGAGTGGTGGTTGCTGAAGGCTGAGGTGACTGTGGACCTTTCTTAAACTAGGACAACTACGAAGGTTGCCACATTGATGGACTCTTTCTTTCATGAAAGATTTCTCTGTAGTATGTGATTGATGTTAGTCAGTATGTTAACCACAGAACTTCTTTCAAATTTGGAATCAATCCTCACAAGCTCTGCAGTTTCTTTACCAACTAAGTTTATGTAACATTCTAGAGGTTTTCACTGTCATTTCAACAATGTTCATAGTATCTTTACCAGGTGTAGATTTCATTTTAAGAAGCCAATTTCTCAGCTGAGCATGGTGGCTTAAGCCTGTAATTTCAGTATTTTTGAAAAGTTGTGATGGCATGTAGCTGTAGTCTTAGCTACTCAAGAGGCTAAGGCAGCAGGACCACTTGAGCATATGATTGTAACACTGCGTACCAGCCTGAGCGACAGAAAAAGATCCTGTGTCTTTAAAAAAAAAAGAAAAAGGATAAAAGGAAACCACTGTCTTTACTCATTCATAAAAAGCAATTCCTCATCTGTTCAAGGTTTATCATGAAATTTTCACAATTTTGTTGCATCTTCAGGCTTCACCTCTAATTGTAAAGTAATACTATGCAGCCATAAAAAAAGATGAGTTCATGTCTTTTGCAGGGACATGGATGCAGCTGGAAACCATTGTTGTGAGCAAACTATCACAAGGACAGAAAACCAAACAACACAAGTTCTACTGCTATTTCTACCACATGTGTAGTTACTTCCTTCACTGAAGTCTTCAAACTTTCTAGATCAATCATGTGGGTCAAGATCAAGTTCTTCAAAATTCCTGTTAATATTGATTATTTTGCCTCCTCCCATGAGTCACAAATGTTCTGTATGGCATGTAGAATGATGAATTTTTTCAGAAGGTTTTCAATTTACTTTACCCAGATCCACTAGAGGAATTAGTATTGATGGCAGCTATAACCTTACAAAATGCAGTAGTTAAATTATAAGACTTGAAAGTCAAATTTAGTCCCTGATCCATCAGCTACTGAATGGATACTGTGGTTAGCAGGCACGAAAACATCAATCTCCTGTACATCTCCATTAGAACTCTTGGGTGATTAGGTGCATTGCCAATGAATTGTAATATTTTGAAAGAAATTGTTTTTTTTCTCTCTCTCTCTGAGCAATACATCGTGACAGTGAGCTTAAGATATTCAGCAAACCATTTTGTAAACAAATGTGCTGTCATCCAAGCTTTGTTATAAAGCACAAGCAGAGTAGATTTAGCCTAACTCTTAAGTGCCCTACAATTTTTGGAATCATAGATGAACAACCACTTCAACTTAAAGCAACCAGCTGCCTTATCCCCTAACAAATGAATCAGGCTGTCCTTTGAAGCTTTGAAGACAGGCATTGACTTCTCCTCACTAACTATGAAAGTCCTTGATGGCCTATTCTTCCAATAGAAGGCTGTTTCGTCTACTTTGAAAATCTATTGTTTAGTGTAGCCACCTTCATCAATGATCTTAGATTTTCAGGATAATTTGCTGCAGATTCTACATCAGCACTTGCTGCTTCATCATGCACTTTTATGTTATGGGGATGGATTCTTAAACTTCTCCAATCTCTGCTAGTTTCAAACTTTTCTCCTGCAGCATCCTCACCTCCCTCAGCATTCATAGACTTGAGGAAAGTTAAGGCCTTGCTCTAGATTAAGCTTTGGCTTAAGGGAATATTGTAGCTGGTTTGATCTATCCAGACCACTCAAACTTTCTTAAAATTAGCAATCAGTCTGCTATACTTTCTTTTCATGTATGTCTTCACTGGAGAAGCCCTTTTAATTTCCTTCAGGATCTTTTCCTTTGCATTCACAACTTGGCTAACATTGGCACAAGAACCCTAGTTAGTTTTGAGTCTATCTTGGCTTTTGCCATGCCTTCCTCACTAATCTTACTTATTTCTAGCTTTTGTTTGAAAGTGAGAGATATGAGATTTTCACTTTCACTTCAGCGTTTAGAAGCCATCATAGGGTTACTAATTGGCTTAATTTCCATATTTGTGTCTCTCAAAGAATATGGAGGTTTGAGGAGAGGGAGAGAGGTGGGGGAATGGACCAGTCAGTGATGAGTCAGAACACACACACCATTTATGCATTAAGGTCACTAACTTATATGAATGCAACTCTCAGTGCCTCAAAACAATTGAAATAGTAACATCAAAGGTCACTGATCATAGATTACCACAATGGACATAGTAATAATGAAAAAGTTTGAAATATTGCAAGAATTACCAAAATATGGAACACAGATGCAAATTGAGCACATGTTGTTAAAATAATGGTGCCAATAAACTTGTTTGACACAACATTGTCACAAATTTCCAGTTTGTAAAAAAATCTGTTAAGCATAGTAAAGCAAAATGCAATAAAACAAGATATGCCTGTGTGCAAGATCATGTCATCAGCAAACAATTTACCTACTTTCTCTGCAATTTGAATTGTTTATTTTTTCTTGCTAATTTCTCTGGCTAGGAATTCTAGTACTACATTCAATAGAAATGGGGACAGTGGGCATCCTTGTTTTGTTCCTGATCTTAGTTAGAAAAAGGTTTTAAAACCTTTGAGTGTGATTTTAGCTGTGAGCTTGTCATATATGGCCCTTGTGATATTAAGACACATTCTTTCTCTACTTCATTTATTGAGAGTATTTATCATGAAAGAATGTTAAATTTTCTCAAATTAGTTTTCTGTATCTATTGAGATAATCATGTTATTTTGTCCTTTTTTCTATTTATGTGGTATACCATATTTATAAATTTGCATATGTTAAAACATCCTTGCAACCCAGAAATATATCTCACTTCATAGTATATGGTTCTTTCAATACGCTGTTGAACTCAGAGTGTTAGTATTTTGTAGAGAAATTTTGTATCTCTGTTCAATCGGGGATATTGGCCTGTAATTTCATTTTCTTTTGGTATCCTTTTCTGTCTTTGGTATCAAGGTAATGCTGGTCTTGTAGAAAGAGTTTGAAAATACAACCTATTCAATTTTTTGGAAGAGTTTGAAAATGATCGTTATTTTTTCTTTAACTGTTTAGCATAATTTCGTTGTGAGGTCATCTGTTCCTGGGCTTTTATTTCTCAGAAGATTTGTTATTACTAATTCAATAATCTCACTATTGACTTTTTCAGATTTTTTATTTTGTCATGGTTCAATGCCAGGTTGTTTCTAGGAATTTATAAATTTCTTCTGGGTTATACAATTTTTTGGCTTTTATTTGTTCATAGTAACCTTTTATGATCCTTTGTGTTTATGTTGTATCAATCATAACGTCTTCTTCATTTATAATTTTATTTGGGTGTTCTCTCTTTTTCTCAGTTAATCTAGCTGCAGATTTTTCAATTTTGTTTCTTTTCATAAAATCAACTCTTAATTTCATTATTTTCTATTGTTTTTCTAGTCTCTAATTTATTTTTGCTCCAATCTTCATTGTTTCCTTCCTTCTGCCAACTTTGGTGTTATTCTCCTATTTTTAGCTCCTTGAAGTATAATGTTATTTATTTGAGATCTTTCTTTGTTTAATGTATAATTTCTTGCTACAAACTTCCTTCTTGAAACTGCTTTTTGTACATCTCATAATTTGTGTGTGTGTGTGCATCTTTCCATTTTCATTTGTCTCAAGATATTTTTATTTCTTTTTTGATTTATTTTATGGCCCATTTGTTGTTCAGAAGTGTATTGCTTAATTTTCACATATTTATGAATTTTCAAATTTTCCTCCTGTTATGGATATTTAATTTCATACCATCATGGTTGGAAATGATATTTGATACTATTTCTATCTTCTTAAATTGGTTCAGACTTGTTTTGTGGCCAAGCATATGACCTGTCCTAGAGAATGTGCCTGTGCATTTGAGGAGAATGTGTGTTCTGGTGCTGTTGGATGAGTGTTTGTATACGTCTGTTAAAATCAGTTGATTTATTCAACTTTGCACTTTTAGTATTGATGTTCATCTGGATGATCTATCCATTGTTCGAAATAGGGTATTGAATTTCCCTACTATTGTATGGTTGTTTCTTCCCCCTTTAATTGTATTAATATTTGTTTTACATGTTTAGCTCCACCTATATTTACAATTGTTATATCCTGTTGATAAATTGACCCTCTTATTATTATATAATAACCATCATTTTCTCTTGTAACAAATGTTTACTTAAAGCCTATTTTGTCTAACTATAGTCACCACTGCTCTCTTTTGCTTACTCTTTGAATGTAATATATTTTCCCATCTCCTCACTTTTAGCATGTGTGCCCTTTTACGCCTGAGGTTGCAATTTTTTGAATTTTTGCAATCAGACCTTGGCAATGAATTGAGTAGTTATATATAAATAACTCCCATGTGCTCAGCATTCCAATAATGGAACACTAGAGACATAAGTGGTTTGCTTATGCCGTTTATGCATAGTGTTCTGTTACTGGAAAGCTGAGCTAAAGTAAGTCTCTTGTAGGTAGCATATAATTGGATCTTCTTTTGTTAAATCATTCTTCCAATCTTTGTCATTAATTGGAGAATTTAATCTATTTCCATTTAAAGATATTGTTGATAAATAAGGACTTATCATTTTGTTAATTGTTTTCTGACTGATTTGTAGTTCCTTTTGTTCTTTTCTCTTCTTTTGTTGTTTTTGTTATTTGACGATTTTCTATAATGGTATGCTTTCATTCATTTCTTCCTATCTTTTGTGTACCTACTACAGGTTTTTCTTTGTGATTACCATAAGGCTTAATTAAAACATATTATAGTTATAACGGTCTCTTTTAAGCTGATATAAACTTACTTTTAATCACATACAAAAACTCTACACTTTTACTCCCCTCCTCACATTTCATGTTATTTATATCACAATTTATATCCTTTAATATTGTGTATCCATTAAAAATATTATAAATATAATACATTCATCTTTTAACTTTTGTACTAGCAGTTTTGTATTAGAGTTAAAAGTGATTCACACACCACCATTACAATATTAAAGTATTCTGAATTTGGCTATACACTCATCTTAACCAGTGAGTTTTACATCTTCATTTGCTTTCATGTTGCTGATTAGCATTCTTTCATTTCAACTGGAAGAACACTCTTTTGCATTTCTTGTAAAATAATATTAGTAATGATGAACTCCTTCAGCTTTTGTTTGCATGGGAAAGTCTTTATCTCTCCATTTCCAAAGAACACATTTTCTTGGTATAGTATTCTTGATTGTCATGTTTTTGTTATTGTTGTTTGCTTTTGTTTGTTTCGTTTTATTTTTCAGGCCTTTGAATATATTATCCCAATCTACCCTGGCCTGTAAGGTTTCTGCTGAGAAATCCGCTGATAGTCCTGTGGAGATTCCCTTGTGTGTGATGAAGTGTTTTTCTCTCACTACTTTAAAAATTATCTTTGTCTCTTGACAGTTTTAACATAATGAATTTTAACATAATGTATCTTGAATATAATGTATCTTAATAATCAAACCACTTGGCGTTCTTTGCTATTCATAGGTCTGGCTGTTCATTTCCTTCTTCAGATTTTCACAATTTCTGTTTTCATTTCTTTAAATAAGCTTTCTTTTTTTAGTTTTTCTCTTTTTCTGCTCTTCTAAAATCTTCAATATCATGTATATTGCTTTTCTTGATGTTGTTCTGTAAGTACCATATGATTTACTCACCTTTATAAACTTATTTTTCTTTTTGTTTCTCTTACTGGATAATTTCAAGTAAACTATCTTCTCTTTTGTTGATTCTTTCTTCTGCTTGATCAAATCTGCTACTGAAACTTTCTATTGATTCTTTCAATTTAGAAATTTGTATATTTTATGATTTATAATTGAATAAAGTCTTTAATCTGCATGACATTTCTTTATATTTTTATTCTTTATTTTAATGTGGGACTACTGGCATACATTTTCTCTTTTCTTTGCAAAAATATTTTGCCATCATTTTTGAAATATCAAACTCTAGGTTAGTAGATATTTGATTTCAGAACTTGGTATTGTTTTACCTTTTGTTGTTCATGCCAGTCTTATTATTGCTTTTTAAAAAAAAAAAACTAACAAGCTTTCTTTACCCTTCTTGTTTGCTTTTAAGATTTTTTCACTTTGACTTTGGTTACTCTAGTTTTATTTATTATATTAGAAATCTACTTAAATGTAGATTTATTTGTATTTATGCTGCTATGGTTTGCAAATTCTCTTGAATTTGATTTTGAGTGTTTTTATTAGATTTTGTGAAATTCTTAGCCTATAGCTCTTTAAATATCTTTTTTGCCCTATTCTTTTTCTCTTTCAGTTCCACCTGAGATTTCATTTGTTTAAACATTTTGTCATGCCTTATTTTTTCATTTATATATCTCTCTTCATGTTTCAATCTATTTTCTGCTGTCCTATATTTTAGTTCACTATTAATTGGTTCTGTTGCAACTACACTGCTACTAACTCATATAATAGAATTATTTTAACTCTAGAATTTCCAGTGGTCTCTTATTATACATTGCAGTTCTGCAGTGAAATTTTCTATTTTCTCAAACATGTTAACCATAGTTGCTGTTTTAAGTGCCTGACTGATTACTTCAAATTTTATTACATCATGTCTCTGTTATTTTTTCTTTTTTTCCTAGTGACTTTTAGTCATCTGATATTTTATTCTGTCATGCTTGGTATGTTTTACAATATTTTTTGAAAAATATTGAGGCTTTGGGTAATTTATATTCCTCCAGATATAATTTAATTTTCCTCTGAGAGACCACCTTGGGAAGACCACCTTGATTTAATCAGTAATTGAATGTCTTGAGATTTTGTTTTAGACTTTTTGAGGTCTGGCCTACTTCCACTTTGCTCATCCCTAGAAGGAGCCATTTAGGGTCTCAACTAAATGTCTATGCTATTTTCAAGATCCCTTCTCTATGGTAGACCCTAAAATGAGCTTTCTTTCTCTGCCTCTTTCTCTCTCTGTCTCTCTCTCTCTCCAGTGCCTTGAGATTCCTGAAATGTTTCCTTAGCTTCTTCATCTCTTAAATTCTATTTGATTTATCAGCCTCTTAGAAATTGGCAGATGCAAGAGAAAACTTCATGCAGAATGTTGGGCTCACTTTTCTATATTCTTCCCTCCAGGATTTTGGACCCTCAATTCTATCTATTTCCAAAACTAAAGTTTAAAATGTAGGTTAAATGAATAACAAGTATAATCCAATTTTTAGTCACATATCAATCAGAGTCAAGTATGGAAAGCAGAGTGAATGACAGGTAGTTCGGTGGAAGAAATTTAATAGGAGAACTAGTTAACACAGATGCTGTAAGCATCACAAAGACAAACAGGGTATGGGAGAGCAAACTGTAGATCAGCCACAGCAGAAAGCTGTTTCTACTCCTAAGACTAACAATGTGAGGAGGTATTTACAAAGGCCAAGAGTCAATTCTACCAGATAGAAAGCAGAATCAGACCAGAGGCTCGCAAAAAAAGTAGAGCTTATATGGGAGATGAAGCCATGCCCCTAAAAAGAAGAAGAAAGACGGATTCTACCCTGCTTCTGCTTGCCATTCACCCATCAATGCTCCCTTGTGGATAAACCTACCTAGTAGGTAGGAAAAGAGCCTGAGAAATGTAGGATCAGTCTTCTTCGTGTAGATCAGAAGGTCACTAAAGTCACCTAAGAACAAAGGCACATGACTGGAAAAGTCCCTTTGGAGCCAGATGCTAGGGCAGGAAAACAAATAGAGCTGACAAGACTCCAGGTACCATTAACTTTATTCACTGATTGAAAATATTTCCATATTAGATAAAAGTCAAAGAAGTCAAAGAAAAAAATGTGGTTTTGCTGGTTCAAAGATTTTCCTAAATAATTACAAAACACCTCTGAAAGTGAGAAATTATTTCCACAGCAGTTAAGGCAGTGGAAAGTATCTTACCAAGGTACCTTTCCAAGGTACTTCAAAATAGAGTGGAATGGAATAAGATAGAATAGAGTAGCAGTGGTATCACAAGATGTAGGGGCTTTGAGAGAAAGTATTTGCTCAAAAAGTTTTAAAACTCAGGTGTGTAGGTGAGTTATTTAAAGCTGGTTTCATTTCACTGAAGAGGAAGCAGACAAGGATAATTTCATTTAAGAATAGCAAGTCAAGACCTTTTAAAGAACAGAGAAAGAGGAAAGAAGATTAAATGCTCTTAGAAAAAATTCTAAAGTGGCAAGTGAAATGCAAATTTTAAATATTCCCCAGCTAGTCAATAAATCCTTACAAATGGGTGGATTGTTCATCATAATTGAAATAAGCCCTTGAACTTTGATTTTCATTAGTCTGGTTACATGCTGTTTAAAGAAACTTTAAATTTAGGTCATCCCCTGTGTTGCAAAACATCTAACAGAAGAAACAAATTACCTCCTCACAGACTCATCTTCTTTCCCTTCATTTTCCTCCGTTACTCAAAATGAAGATAACAATGACCCCCGCACTGGGTCTTCATCAAGTGTTTTTGGCTGGGATAAGAGTCTCTAGTCAAAAGAAGGGTTTAATTTCTGGGAAGCCAATTTTGGTTGTTTTGATTAGGCAATTCTGTGACAAAAGAACTAGGTATTGCATCTGAGTGGAGCCAGCTGTGTTTCCTTTGCTCGCTACTGAGCTGGTTAGGAAAGCATGGCAGGGAACTGATGACCTGGCAGATGGGAGATGGATGGGCAAGGAGGGCAGAGCACTCTCCTTTCAGCCAAAACTGCCATTGCTCCTATGACTAACAAGGGGTTTCATGTTGACATTTTACTAGTATTGCAAGATTTATCAGCTAGGACCACTTTGGGTAAGAAAGAGAAAAGCCAAATCAGGCTTCTGAAGAGGGTGTATTGACCTTCAGTTCCCAAGAGCTCGGAGGTGGGACTCGTATCAGACACAGATTGATTGGAAAGTTTGAGAAATCCACCAGGACTTGGTTTCTCCCACCCTCTGTCTCCACTTGGTTCTGTTCCTCATGGCCTTCATGCTTAGACTAGCTGGAGAACCTCCTGCTCACAGAGAGCCTGAAGCAGCTTTGGCATGCACATTCTCTCTTGGTCTCAGCCAGTGGAGTAGAAAACAGCAAGAGTCCCTTTCCAAGGACTTCTTGCAAAATCTTTTGAACCGGTTACTGTAACCTGGTGACTAGCTTTGACAGAGGTCACATCCTTCCCCGAGGTCCATGCCAAGAATGTGTGTTGTGAATGGAGGAGGGAGAGTCTTTCAGAGGGAAATGAAGCTATTAACAAAGAGGGAGCATGGAATGGGAGGTCATTAAACACAGACATGGCAAAAATGAATATCTACTTTATATACTCTATGTACTTGGCCATGGTGTAACGTTTTCCTAGTATTAAACAGGTTTTTGCTTGTTTTCGCAGTTCTTTCTTGCTACATCTTTGAATGGATTGTATAGCTTTGAGGAAAGTATGGAGAATGTTTCTGTAAGCAATATTTTGCCCCAAAAGGAAGGGAACAAGAGCTTTACCATACATCGCCAGCTACTATGACTTCCATTTTAAAATGTTTATTTGCTTTGCAGCCAAATGTCCTACCATAGAGCTATACAGAGGTAATGCTCATGTTAATTAGCTTGATTTAGCCCTTCCATAGCATATACATATTTCAAAACATTTACACAATAAATATAGATGATGTTGTCAATCAATCAATAAATAAGTTAATTTGCTATATTTAAGACATACAAATATTAAAACAATGCATTAAACATCTGTGCATTCACAACCTGTTAAGGAATAAAACATTGTCAACAAACTAAATGCCCCTTTGGAACTCTCCCAAATAATTTTCCTTTTCCAGAAAAACACTATCTTGAATTTAGTGTTTTTCATTCTTATGTCTTTATTCATATTTTAACTAGAACTTATATGAACCTCTAAGAAACATGCAGTATTGTTTTGTATGTTTTTCATATGTATATATATATATAGTCATATATATTTTGCAACTCTTTTTCTCAAGTACGTTTGATATTTGTAGGTCTAGTTTTTTTTCATCCTGCTATTGTGTTGTGTTCCATTTTTTTTGATGTTTGAATATATCATAATCTATTCATTCTTCAGGTAATGAACATTTGCATTGGATTGGTTCCAGATCTTACTGTTAAGAATAATGTTATTATAAGTGTTTTCCTACATGTTTCTGGCATAAATGTTCAAGAATATCCTAAGGGTATATACCAGCTCAGAGGATTTGTGCAACATCAATTTTACTGGTTATTGTCAAACTAAAAGAGATGGTATCAATTTACACATTCACCAGCAAAGTATAAATGTCCTCATATCTCCATATCTTTCCCAACATATATCATCAGACTTTTAAAATTTTTTCCAGCCTGATTAATGTGAGATTTGTGGTTTTAATGTGAATTTCCATGATTACTAATGACAAAGCATTTTGTCATATCTGTACTGGCAATTCAAGTTTCTTCTGTGAGTTTTCTGTTTACATCTTTGCTGATCTCCTCATGCCCTGGGTTATTTGATTTCTTAGTGTTTGGTGGAATTTTGTATTTTTCTCCTTATTTATCATGCTTTTTTTGTTGGAGGGCAGTGTTAAATGTGTTGCAAATATCCTTTTGCTTAGTTTTTAAATTGTCATTGTGTATATTCCTTAATAAACAGAAAATGTAATTATCATTTTATGAAAATTAACCTACATTTATGATTTATGCTCTTTGTAACCTAGTTAAGAAATCCTCGCTTACCTTTTGTTCAACAAGATGTTTCTCTGCGTGCCTGCTGGGCTTTCCTCATTGCTGGGAAGTCTCACGGTGATACTTCCATAGAAGAAGGAAGCTCACCTCAGAGAGAGATGGCTGGAAATCTCTTAGAATTTGCTCAGTCTTTAAATCTCTTCCAAGCAAGTAACCTACACCAAGAAAGAATGATCTTTTTGGCAGGGGTAAAGATCTTTTATCCTCATGCCTGTGAGATTTTGAACAACAGGAGTGCCCCATCTCAACTGCGTATAATGCAACCGAAGGGCAGATGGTGAAGGCCTTGAACACAGATTCAAAAACCTGCAAACTTATGCCTGAACATTTTGTGCATCTTTTTCACAGGCCCACACACACCCACCCCATGTCCAGAACAGCCTGGTGTGTGATACTGAGGGACCCACTCTTGAGCAGCTGATAACTACACCTCTGTGTGATCTACTGGCCCTGCTTAAGATTAGGAAACTCTCTCTTTCTGTCTCCCCCAGCCTTCTCCCCTACTCAACAACAGCTTCATTTTAGTATTAGGTTTGGGTTTTATTTTATTCTCTCCTTCTCTTTCTCTGCTGTGAGATTTGCATTATCAGGAAAATAGGCAAGAAAATAGGAGAGAAAGTAATGGAAGGTAACTTTTTCAAGTCTGAGAAATATTTTCATCTGCCAACCAGAAAAGCATTCTGACTATGAAACTTGTCAGACAGTCACATTTATCCCTGACAGAATTTTGGAATCACTTTACCTTCAGAATTTTTCTCCAGGATTGGTATTTACTCTAGTTATCATGGTCATCTGGGGCAAGGGGGTAATGAAGTAAAGAAAGAAGTTACTTTGGCTATCAGAAACTAGGATTTATTATCACCTAATTTAAGCCTGCTAACATAGAGGAGCAAGCCCGGTGGTGTGCCAGTCTTAGAAGACACTAGGAAACAGGCTCTTTGTTAAACTGCAATAAAATCTCCATTCTCCTCCCAACTTTCCCTCTCCCATCACTGTTACAGCTCATATCTATCTCATAATAAATAATCAGCTCCCCTGTTGTCTCAATCCACTTACTGCACCACCAATCAATCTGAATGGCCCAGGTGCCTCTGCAGGTTTCCTAACACTTCCACATGTGCTCTGTGTCTCCAAGGACAAGCATGCTTGCATTTGCAAAGGCCCTCTGAGTGGACAAAGAGCAAAGCTGAAATGTTTGGAGTGGGGTCAGGGGAAGGACACAATCTGATGTGATAGTAGAAGGTCCGTCCGTGCAATAGCACTTGGTATTTCAGTTTTTTCAATTCAGTTTCTGTTTCTCTCATGACTTAAAAAAAATTTACACTAAATTGAGTGGTATCACCATGCCTTGTTTCATAATTCAAACAGCTGATTTTATAAGCAATCATGTATCCCTCTTGGACATCAGGATAAACAATATTACAGTGAGATATCATGCCCTTCATTTTCCTTTTCCTGTTTCCCCTGCTAGTTTTCCCCTGCTAGTTTTCCCCTTAAATTAATAATTTCTATTGAAATAAGTAATGTGGTCAAGATGGGTGTTGTGATGGTTAATTTTATGTGTCAACTTGACTGAGCCACACATGCCCAGATTTTTGGTTAAATATTATTCTGGGTGTTTCTGTGAGGGTTTTCTTGGATGAAATTAACATTTAACTAGACAGACTGAATAAAGCAGAAGATCCTCTCTAATATGGGTGGGCCTCATCAAATCAGCTGATGGTCTGAATAGAACAAAAATGTTAACTCCAGGGGAAGGGAGGACTTTTCCTGCCCAACAGTCTCTGATCCAGGACATCATTCTTATACATGAAGTGAAATACCAGCTCTTCTTGGGTCTTAAGTCTGCTGGCTTTCATACTGAAACTTACACTATCAGCTCCTCTGATGCTCCAGGTTGTCAACTACATATTTTGAGACTTGTCAGCCTCTGCAATTATTTGAGCCAATTTCTTATAAGACACACACACACACACACACACACACACACACACACACACCTCTTGGTTCTGTTTCTTGGTAGAACCCTGAGTAATACAAGGGTGTTTCCATTCAGAGCTCAAAACTCAAATCTCAAAGTGAATATGGGGCTCTCTTAGACCTTGAAGAAAATCATACTTACTTTAAAGGCTATTACCCTTTTAAAAAATGAAGGACCCAAAAAATCTTTCAAAAATTCTCTACCTTTCATGCTGGCTATCCAAGGCAATTCATTTTATTCTGATCATGCACTTCCTTTGCTCTGTCTCAGCTTTAGGAAGACAGATACTAACCTCCCTGGGAGAGTCTTTGTTTAGCTCTTTGGATCTTTGGCACCATTAGCCTGACCTTTCCCTTTGTAAAAAGCAGCATGCATTGGCTATTGGGGAGGAGCTGGTCACAGGTAGAAAGGGCACACCAGCTACTCTTCCATCCAGGGAGAGAGTTGATGTGAGTATTGTTCTCTAAAACAGTGTTATCTCCATGACAATTACCACAATCACAAAACCTTCTGCCAGGGATGGGCACATGGTTCACAGTCACCTTCATCTCAGCCACTGGATAAGACAATAGTTTTCCCCCAAGATATATGTCTGAAATCAATCAGCACAAGGAGAGCATACAGCATGATGCTGGGTAGTGGATGTGTGAGGGATTAGAGAAAAATGAGATTGGAGAGAGGGACTGAGGAAAACTCCTAACAAACTGATTCTTACTTAGTCCACTCAGTCCTTCAGCAAACTACATCCTCCAGATGATCTTCTGTGTCAAGAGGGAAGAAGAGCATTTGAGCTCTAAAAGTGAACGTTTGGGATTCCACCTATACAAGGTCCAAGACTGGACCTTGTGCCTGATGTGGGATCTTCTGAGACATGTTTTCATGAGCTAAGTCAACACCCAGGATCACAGACTAAGAGAAAACTTTTTGTGGATTATCAGCGGAACCACCCCCAATATTTCAGTGTAGGTTCTTTTCTACTTTCCCTAAGTGTCGGCCAGTCTGAGAAATAAAGGGAAGGAGTACAAAAGAGATAAATTTTAAAGCTGGGTGTCTGGGGGAGACGTCACATGTCGGCAGGTTCTGTAATGGCCTCTGAGCCGCAAAGCCAGCAAGTTTTTATTAGTGATTTTTAAAGGGGAGGGAGTGTACAAATAGGGTATGGGTCACAGAGATCACATGCTTCACAAGGCAGTAAAATATCACAAGGCAAATGGGGGCAGAGTGAGATCACAGGACTGGAGCGAAATTAAAATTGCTAATGAAGTTTCATGTCCCACTCGGCACGCATTGTCGTTGATATCTTATCAGGAGACAGGGTTTGGGAGCAGACAACCAGTCTGACTAAAATTTACTAGGCAGGAATTTCCTCGTCCTAACAGACCTGGGAGCGCTACAGGAGACTGGGGCTTATTTCATCCCTTATTACAACCGTATAAGACAGACATTCCTAGAGCAGCCATTTTAGAGACCTCCTCATAGGAACGCATTCTCTTTCTCAGGGCTGTTCCTTGCTGAGAAAAAGAATTCAGCAATATTTCTCCTATTTGCTTTTGTAAGAAGAGAAATATGGCTCTGTTCCACCCAGCTCTCAGGCAGTCAGACCTAATGGTTATCTCCCTTGTTCCCTGAACATTGCTGTTATCCTGTTCTTTTTTCAAGGTGCCCAGATTTCATATTGTTTAAACACACATGCTTTATGAACAATTTGTGCAGTTAATGCAATCATCACCGGGTCCTGAGGCGACATACGTCCTCAGCTTACAAAGATGACGGGATTAAGAGATTAAAGTAAGGACAGGCATAGGAAATCACAAGAGTATTGATTAGGGAAGTGATAAATGTCCATGAAATCTTCACAATTTATGTTCAGAGATTGCAGTAAAGACAGGAGTAAGAAATTATAAAAGTATTAATTTGGGGAACTAATAAATGTCCATGAAATCCACAATTTATGTTCTTCTGCCATGTCTTCAGCCGGTCCTTCCATTCGGGGTCCCTGACTTCTCACAACAGTGGATGAATTAGTCCACTTATATTTAAGGAAATTCTCACCATTCTTTTTTGTAGTATATTTTCCAATGTTGTTCATCAGGTCCTAGAGGGGCAATTGTTTTTACACTGTGGTCTTAAAACAAAAAAACAGAACATTTCCTGGATTCAGGCTACTCTAGTGTAGGATCAGCAAGTTGAAAAGGGGTCCCGAGTGTCCAAGTGTGTTCTTCCCAAAGTAGTTTCCTTCTGTTCACTTGAAACTTTCCAACATTACACCCTTTTATTGGTCTCAGATTCCAGGAAGCTTGGCTTTGACAATTTGCACTCTGGCTCTGATTTTTTACTTAAGGAAACAAAACTTTGCAGCATTTTCTATTTTGAAGGGAATCAACATCCTATTTAAAACAAAGATAAAAATTTCAACCATGGAATCTAGATCTTTGTATTTGATCTCATGGGTGTCTTCTTTTCTATGGGGCCTTTTTCTTCCATTCATACTTCTTTTCTGCCTTGCTGGCTGTGAGGAAATGTCACTTCCCATATGCTGTTTTTAACCTCGGGCCCAACTACTGAGCAAATGAGCATATTTGTGTAAACCTAACCCCTACGCATATGAGACAACACTGAATTTACAAAAAAACTTGGTAAAAATTAAGGGTGATAAAATGAAAATAAACACAGAAAATATACAAAGCAAAGAAGTCTTTCAACTTTCATTCTTCATTCAATCCTTTATTTATCAACAAGCATATTTTGAGTGCCCACTAAGTGCCAGGACCTGGAGAAACAATAATGAACAGTACACAAGCTCCTGACTTCATAGAGCTTACAGCCTAGTGGAAGTTTGGGTTTATATGGCAGAAGTGTGTGAGTCTCCCATAGTGCATTGCTTCTAGAGATCTGAATTCCTCTTCACTTCCATATCCTTTTCAAGCAGAAACAAACAAAAAGTTCAGGCAGAAAATGCTATCCTATGACTTAAAACCTAATTCTGAATCCAAGAGCTTGTGACTCCAATTCCCCTCTGTGGTCTTCTCGTTAGTCCTCACCACTTATCACTGTGAACTTCAGAGCTTCCTAAAACTGGGGCTTTACATGTCTAGGAAGCAGCAGGACTGTTTCACATGTCAGCTGCAGATTTGGAGCTTTATCATTAACTCAATAGATACTTAGAATCAGGATCACTAGCAGTTAGTAAAAGAGATGCTTTGGTTCTGTGAAAGGAAGATTTGAGGTTGGAAATAACAGGAGATAATTAGGTCTTGGGGGAAATAGAGAGTTAGAGTCAGAACAAATTGTTACTGTGGTTTTTTTCTCATTGGGCATGTGCACATGCATGTGTTGTGATATATAAGACATTAATGGCGAACATGTGCATTTTCTTATTATATATTATGGACTGAAATTACAGATTTAAAATGGTATAAACTTTCCTTTAAAATGTAATCTGAAAACTGACTTCTTCGTTTGGAGGTGCACACCTTCCTTGATCATACTATCTACACAAGCTTTTCTTTATAAATATCTAAGACATTCCATGTATCCAAAACCATGAGAGGACTGGGAATTGAGAGCTACAAGATAATTTAACTTCAACACTGAGACAAGTAGAAAAGGGCTTATTTCAGTTCACATTTTAACAAGACAGTTCTCAGAGTACCAATAAGAAGTTCTAGAGAGATCATCATGGGAAATGACAACAGGAAGAACTAATTACCTGACCTTACAGAACAGGTCATAATTCTTATAGCTCAAGATATGGGGAATGGATGTTGTTCTTGGCCAAATTATGCATGCCCTGTTATATGGTAGGGATGTTTGTTCCTTCCAAATCTGGCCCCAGGTACAGCTCATGCCACCACTTCAGATGGTGCAAGCCATGAGACAGTGGCTTTCATGTGATGTTAGGCCTTCAGGGACATATATAGAATGAAAACATGAAGGAGGCTTGGCAGCTTCCTTCTAGATTTCAGAGAATGTATGGGAAACCCTGGGTGCCCAGGCAAAAACCTGCCGCAGACATGGAGTCCCAAAAGCAAACTTCTACTAGGGTAGTGCCAAGGGGAGAGGTAGGGTTGGAGCCCCCACACAGAGTCCCTACCAGGGCACTGCTGAGTGGAGCTGTGGGAAGGGGCCATTGCCCTCCAGACCCCAGAATGGTAGATCCACTGTCAACTTGTAACCTCTTCTTAGAAAAGCCCACAGACACTCAACTCCAACCACGAGAGCAGCCACAAAGGATGTACCCTGCAAAGCCACAAGGGCAGGGCTGCCCAAGACTTTGGGAGCCCACCTCTCACACCGTGATGCAAGACATGCAGTCAAAGATTATGTTGTAGCTTTAAGATTTAATAACTGCCCTACTGGGTTTAAGACTTGTGTTGGACATGTTACCCCTTTATTTTGGCCAATTTCTCCCCTTTAGAATGGGAATGTTTACCCAATGCCTGTACCACCATTGTAACTTGAAAGTAAATAACTTCGTTTTGATTTTACAGGTTCACAGGTGGAAGAATTGTACCTTCAGTCTCAGGTGAGACTTTGAACTTTTGACTTTGAGTTAATACTGGAACAAGTTAAGACTTTGGGGAACTATCTGAAAAGGATGATTGAATTTGCAATGTTAGACGAACATGAGATTTAGGGGTCCAGGGGCAGAATAACACGGTTCGGATGTTTGGCCCCTCCAAATCTCATGTTGAAATGTGACTCCCAGGGTTGAGGTGGGGCCTTGTGGGAGTGATTGGATCATTAGCTAGGTTCCCTCATGAATGGTTTAACACCATCTCCTTGGTGATCAGTGATTCTCACTCGGAATTCACACAAAGTCTGCTTGTTTAAAAGAGCATGGTACCTCTTCCTCGCTCTTGCTACCTCTACCTCTCTCCCTGTGTGACATGTTTGTTCCTGCTTCATCTTCCACCATGAGTGGAAGCTTCCTGAGGCCCTCACCACCAGCAGATTCTGGCATCATGCTACTTATACGGCACACAGAATGATGAGCCAATTCAACTTATCTTTATAAATTACCCAGCCTTGGGTATTTTCCTTAGAGCAATGCAAGAATGGGCTAACATACCCTGTCTAATTTCTTGGATTCTGCAGGCAGGCCAATCTCCCTTTGTAAAAACATGATGAAAGTGCAGTGAATTTGTAATTTGAGGTAATAGTATTATAGTACCAAATGAGGCAGATGAATGAGGTATCTGCTTCTGCAAGGGGCTCAGCACTAATTTTTCCATCCATTTCTCAGTGATCTCTAATGGGTAATTTAAGGAGATGTCTATTTTGCCACCTAGTACCAGGCCAGAAGAGCTCTTCTATTGATATGGTACCGGAGGCATGTGCCACAGTAGATTGCAGATGACTCAGAAGAGCAAAGGAGTGAAGATTCCCTGAGTGGACTGTGAAAGAGAAAACATTGCATAAGAAATTATTATTTCCTTTATTTTATTATGTTGGTATATTTTTAACTTTTTTAACTTTTATTTTAGGTTTAGAGGTACACGGGAAGGTTTGTTACGTGGGTAAACCTGTGTCATGGGGGTTTGTTAACCTATTATTTCATCACCCAAGTATTAAGCCCAGTACCCAATAGTTATCTTTTCTGCTCCTCTCCCTCCTTTCACCCTCCCCCATCAAGTAGACCCCAGTGTCTGTTGTTTTCTTCCTTGTGTTCATAAGTTTATATTATTTAGCTTCAACTTATAAGTGAGAACATGCAGTGTTTGGTTTTCTTTTCCTGCATTAGTTTCCTAAGGATAGTAGCCTCCAGTTCCATCCCTGTTCCCACAAAAGACATTATCTCAATTTTTATGGCTGCATAATATTCCGTGGTGTATATGTACTGCATTTTCTTTACCCAATCTGTCATTGATGAGCATTTAGGTTGATTCCATGTCTTTGCTGTTGTGAATAGTGCTGCAATGAACATTCACATGCATGTATCTCTATGGTAGAATTATTTCTATTTCTCTGGGTATATACTCAGAAATGGGATTGCTGTGTTGAGTGATAGTTCTGCTTTTAGCTCTTTGAGGAGAAACCATACTGCTTCCCACAATGGTTGAACTAATTTATACTCCCACCAACAGTGTATAAGTGTTCCCTCTTCTCTGCAGCCTTGCCAGTATGCTATTTTTTGGCTTTTTAATCATAGCTATTCTGACTGGTGTGAGATGGTATCTTATTGTGGTTTTGATTTGCATTTCTCTAATGATCAGTGATATTGAGCTTTTTTTCATATGCTTGTTGGCCTCATGTATGTCTTCTTTTGAGAAGCATCTGTTGATGTCCTTTGCCCACTTTTTTAATGAGTTTTTTTCTTATAGATTTGCTTAAGTTTTTATAGATGCTGGATATTAGTCCTTTGTCAGATGCATAGTTTGCAAATATTTTCTTCCATTATGTAGGTCATCTGTTTACCCTGTTGATAGTTTCTTTTGCTGTGCAGAAGCTCTTAAGTTTAATTAGATCCCACTGGTCAATTTTTGGTTTTGTTGCAATTGCTTTTGGTGTCTCTGTCATGGAAATCTTTGCCTGTTCCTATGTCCAGGATGATATTGCCTAGGTTGTCTTCCAGTGTTCCTATTTGTTTGGGTTTTACATTTAAGTCTTTAACTCTCTTGAGCTGATTTTCATATATGGTGTAAAGAAGGGGTCCAGCTTCACTCTTCTGGATATGGCTAGCTAGTTACTCCAGCACCATGTATTGAATAGAGAGTGTTTTTCCCATTGCTTTTTTTGTCAGCTTTGTTGAAGATTAGATAGTTGTAGCCCAGAGTATGTGGAAGCCTTACCTACAGCAAGAGAAGGGGCCTTTGCTTCTTGAAATTTAGCTCAGTTAAAAGCTTGATATTAGCTCACATTAGTTAATAGTGTTATGGTATGTATCAGAAGCTCATAGTAATTCTGTATATTAAAGTGACCTTGTGCTGAAACACCTTCAGGTGCTGAAACACCTGAAGGTGGAGTTGGAGTCTTGCTTTTGATATCCTACCCTTTCAACAATTTTAATTTGGGTTATTTGTTCAGGGAAACAATCATTGTACTCATGGAAACATAATTGGATCACCTGGTTTCCATTTCTTTTTGATTACTCTTCTTTGTTTTCTTATAAGCCTGCTCCTGTCCCTCTGCCATCTTCACCTTATAACTGTATTCTATTATAGAAAGTATAGCTATAATAATAATTTATAACTATATTCTATCTTCATTATAACTATATTCCATCTTCATTTGGTGGTTTTTCAATGATTATGCTAGTTGCTATTTTCCTGGAGTTTTCCAACTCTCTGAATCTATTTTATTTTATTTTATTCTAGCTTTATTGAGGTATAATTGATAAATGTCTGAATCTATTTTAAATTGCAGTAAGCAGAACTTACTTACAATACGCAGACCTATAGCAGGTATTCAATCAAAGATTCACTAAATCTAGATTTAATGGCAGAAGCTGTTGCTTTCAATCCTCCTCTTGACAGTATCTCACATTTTACTGCCCTTTATGGCTGAAACAGCACATTGAACTAATGTTGCTACAAAACACTTATAATTCTGAATCCCATGTCTCTCTCCTGATTAAAACTAATAGCTGCGAACTCACTCTTTAATGTGGTTTCATTTGGATTGTTGCTAGCCACAATACCTTCTATGCAGCCACAGTGAAATTCATTATCCCCTCTTCTCCCAACTGTAACAGTCTCCAGAGAAGTTAACATGTCCTGAAAACTTCAGGACTTCTCTGAGACCTCTCTCCTCCAAAGCCTGTATGGAAAAGTGCAAGGGCCTATCTAAGTGGAGGCTCCTATGCTCTGTGAGACACACAGAGTGCTTCTCTTAGCCCGGAAGGGGAGCAGATCTGCCATCAGCAACGGCTGAATTAAGTCCTGTGCTAAACATAACTCGATGTACCAAAACATTATAACAAGCCCATATTTTCCATTCAGACAATTTACTTAATTATGAAACTGCACTTTTTGTGACATTTTATGAGAGTAGTGATTAAAATGATCTCCCTCATCATTCCATGGTAAAATGCCAACTACGAGTAGGTGGCTTGAGGGGTGGACTAACAAGAATTAAGGATTTTTGATGTTAGTATGTTTTTCATCTAATCATCATAAATTCCTAGAGCAATGATCCTCAAATGTGTTAATAATACTCCCATCAGTAATTTTTATGTTACGACTCTTATGTTATGACTATGAAAAAAGTAAATTTTAAAAGGCTAAGTTAAGATAAGCCATTTTAACATTATTTTCTTACTTTGGCACTGTGCTATCATTAGTTAATACCAAAATATAGACTTAGGGCAAAGCTTCTAAGAATCATATTGTTTTTAAAGATATTTCAAGTAGCTTGGAATTTTGATTTTCTCTGTGGCAAATTCATGTCAGATATCATGATATTACCACTGCTTTTACTTCTTAAGGTGGATAAAAGGTGCTCATCTATGTATGGAAGTGTCTACACTGTTGTTTTATGGACTTTTCTCTTTTCCTTGCATTCTACACGGTACCTTCAATCTGTGGTTTCTTTGCAGGAATTTTAAAAGCCATTTGTCTATCATAAGAAGGCTAGTTTAGTTTAAACTAGATAAGTGATAAATCCATTAACCAGACAAATAGAAATTGCAACACAACATGATGTGTCACAAGTGAATGAAGGGTAAGGCATTACTGCCAACTCCTTTCTGTTTTGGCACCTTGATATTTCATCAGCTAAACTTGAGGCAGGGCCATCTAGTATGTGGACCAAGTAAAGAAGTAAAGCTTCATTCTTGTTCCTTTTTTTTTTTAAGAACGTATAGGAAGAAAGGTCTTAATGCTTTCTATCCATGTTACAGTGGGTGATCTTAAGCATCCCCTGAGTGTGTGCAGCCCATTTTGGGAACCACTGGTGGAGAACACTGCTTCCCAATGGTGGTTCATAGACCAACAAGACGACATTGTTTTGTCTTCCAACAATTCTTGACTAGGACCACCACCCACTTCTGGCTTTTAAACAATGGTTGTGTTTTCTCTGTTCCCTTATGATAGCTGTTGTGAAATGTGTTTTCAGCCGAAGTTTGAAATGTACACATGGCCCAGCATATTGCTGGGAAAACTGGACTTTTAGGTGGTATCTTTGGAAAACCAGAGTCCAAAGGAATTTTGACTTCTCTGCTCACAATTTATTATCTTTCAGTGCAGGAAGGTTTGAGAAACAGGAGGCGAAAATGTGACTTTGGGGTCAGTAGACCAATAGGTAAGAAACAGAGACCTGCTCACAATCTGGCTGGCCAGTCTTGTTCTCAGGGCATGGCTTGAGTGAGGGAAAGCAGGAGGCTGTATTCCAGGTCTCTGGCATGCTAAGAATGCACAGCCACCACTGCAGAGTATCTGAAACACCTCATGAGCCAACTGCAAGGATAGCACCTATGATGGCAGATGGATAGCCCACCTCTGCAGAAATTTTTCCCTTAGAGTCACTAATCATTCCATTCCTAGCTTCAGCTTTATACAGAGAACTTGGAGACCCAGAGAAAGCATGGGGAAGCCAAAATTGATGTTTCACTGATATGTCTTAGGTGCTCAGAAGTAATTCTAAATACTTGAGTTTTATTTATCCATTAAAATAGACTTAAAACTTTATATTGAAGGCAATGAACAGTTAGTTAAGGTTTGCACAGATAGGCATGATAATCACACCTATGTTTAGAAACAACAGTGCTGGCAGTGGCTTTCTTGGGAGAATGCCAAAAGGTTAGAGTTTATTCATTTGAAACACCCATTTTTTTCTAAGGTTCTTGCATCCCTGTGTTTAATTAAGTCCCACTTTGAAAGTGCAAGCTCTTTGGTCATCAATTTCAGTTCTCTCTGCAGCATTCAGTTCTATTGGTTGCCCATTTCTCGGTCTGAGAGAATCACTCAGTCCTACACCACGGGGTTACACAGAGCCCCCCACCCCGCCCCCTGTGAAGTATAAGAGCTCAAGTCAAGACTCTATGAATACATACTAAGTCCCCAGGTCTTTGGAAGCTTCACTACCACACACCTTCTTCTATTTCCAAAGAAAATAGCCTATGGTTGTTTTTCTACATTAGCATCAGCCCTCTCAGTAATAGACTTAGGAATAAGTTCTCACAGCAAACAAGGGCCTCCATGTGTGACAAGGAGGGGAAGTGTGGTCAGGAAACCCATTTCAGTTTCAAGAATTTACTGTCAACAATCACAAGGGTGAAAATGAGCTGAACAATTTGAAAGAACCTGCCACTGTTATTTCAATGGATGGATTTTGGTAGACAAAAATTCAACAGCTCACTTGTAAAAAGTCGTAGCTAGTTTATATCTCCCTCGGCCATCAAAATAATCAAAGAAAGAAGAAGCAAAAAGAAAGAAATGCAGAAAAGAAGGGGCAAAAAGGGAGACATATTTTCTGATTCTGTATTATGTGTCAAACCCTGTGATGGGCACTTTCTTGTATGTAATTTATGTATTCCTTGCAATAGCCCAGTGAACATGATATTCACATCTTGCCAATTTTAGATAAATACAGTCATATTAATCAAAAATGAAGAAGTTATACAGGATTTGTTGAAGCCATGTGTTAGTACAGGTGTCAATTTAAAATGATCCAGAAAGATAAAATTCCATTTTTCCTTTTTACCCTTCAGAGAAAAACTCTTTCCTTGCGTTATAACAGTCCAGGTGATTTACTCCTTCTTTTTAGAAGTTATTTGTGTTGTCTACCACAAAATATACCTTGGTCCATTGAATGTTATTGTTCGAAAGCTGCAACTCCGGGCCACCTTCTCTCAAAAAAGCAAGGCTCCTCACTCGAGCTGCCACAGACTCTCTGGAAAATAGCCTCCTTTCTCCTTCTCCCATATCTGTCTCCCTTTCATTTGTGCTCAGATGTGTATTTTGATCCAAGCAACAAGGGCAAAGTAACCAGAGCTGAAGAATAAGATACCAGAGACTTTCTGATATGTTGGCTACAGCTCTCTCTAGAGTCACACCCTGATCTCCAACTGCACGAAGCTCCTGGTAGCCCTTATGCCTCCAGCCTCTTCTCATATGTTCCTGCCAGCTAGGATTCTGTATCCAACTTTTTATACAAGGAAAACTTCCTTGCTGTCCTGACAGCTCAGACATGACCTCCTTAGAGGCCTTCCCTAATGCCTCAATGTGGTTAACATGGCTAACTTCAAGTAGCACTTGGATCTTGTCCCTTAATCACACTTTTGTCACATTGTATGAGCTGTTCATGTCCATGCCCATGAGCTGTAAGCTGCTAGAGGGTAGAGTGCATGTCATATTGTCTCCAAGTCTTGGACTTATGGTGCTCATCAATATTCTCTCAATGTCCAAGTAAATGGATGAGTAAAAGGGACCATTGGCATCTCAGAGGAAAGTACAGTGTAGGAGAAATGGCAGCCTGGAGTCCAGTGCCTTTGGACAACCTCAGAGGAAGACTTACACGTAGTGAACTAGATGTTGCTAGGGCAACTTGTAGCTCTGTTATTAATCTCAGAGTAGCTGCAGAAAATGGACATAAAATCCATTCTGTGGAACAATGAACACAATAGCTACCTTGAGGCTCTGCTACCTCAAACCCTTGACATAAATCTGACATTCTGTACAACTATGTCAATGTCACAAACACCCAAACTGCCTACTTATCTTTGAAACTCATTTTCTATTCTAAATGATTCTCCACAATTAAGCTGACATGTAAATTTGAATTCCAATAAGTGTTCCTAAACAGAGAAAGGATGATGAGGTTTATAACATTTAATTTAAGAAGAAATGATGGAGAATTACCCTTCAGACAAATGAGCTAAAAACTGTGGGAAGGTAAGGTTAGACTGTGCAAACTTTACACAGCAGCTGGTCAGTAAGTGTTCATTTGTCTTCTCTTGTCTCCAAGAGGCTTTGAATAATAGAACCCAAACAGTTGTTCTAACTGGTGTTGATGCAGTCACCTCTGGTGGGAGCAGATAGCAGTTGGAATCGTAGGAACTCTGGGAATATGCAGCGCCCTCTTTAGAAAGGAGTGTTTTTATTTCAGTCATAAGTTTAGTCCAAAGTGATCCAATTGCTAAAGGAAATGAGAAGTCAATGTCATTCACCTTATGATGTCTAGCTTGTTCCACTATGAGTACTTCCATAGATGGAAGAAAACCCTTGTTGGAAAGAGAAGAATCCTAAAATAAATGCCTTCTGGTGGGTTTTGATTGACATTGTACTGCAGGCTAGAATTGGGGCCTTTCCCTTGCTCAGAAGCACTTGGCACAGGGCCCATGTGTGTCTTGACTGTCTCTGACATAGACATTAGGGGAAGGAAAAGCAGCTAGTGCACCGACTGTTCAGCTGCAGGTATATTAGTGCTAAGTGCTCCATATGCTTTTTCTTATCCAGTAACCCATCTTCACAGCTAGTAAAATAAAAACCCCAGCACCACGTGTACTTTTACTATGGCCATTTCACTTGCTTCAGTGCAAAGGGGTTTTCCTTCCTTGTGGGCTTTAAAGATGCATTTCTGGTTCTAGTTTTAATTAATTGAAGTTATGCTCTAGTTTGAAAATCTCTGTGTGGCAACAGGCTGACCTCCACTCTGCCTAGGGCTGGGGCCAAGTGTTACAGAGATCTCTATGGTTACTTCTAGTTCTTTGTACCCTGGCTGCCTGTGTGTAATTGAGAGAAAGTGATCCTAGAGGAACCATCTGTTCAGGCCACCATTGAGAACTGCCCCCAGAGGCTATAATTTACATTAAAATCTAACTGAATGGTGTCTATTGTAGCCCTGTATTTGGGGACCCAGACTGGTATTATCTTTTTGTAACAGAGGTGACGTGGACTGAATGTGACCCCCCTAATTTATATGTTTAAATCCTCACCCTCAATTTGATGGTATTAGGAGGTGGAGTTTTTGGAAGTTGAATAGGTCATGAGGATGGAGCCCTCATAATTGGGATTAGTGCCCTTATAAAAGAGACCCCAGAGAGTTCCCTTACCTTTGCCACCATGGAACAACACAGCAAGAAGAGAGCTGTCTATTAACCAGGAAGCGGGCCCTCTCCAGATGGCAAATCTGCTGGTGTCTTGAACTTAAAGTTCCCGGCCTCCAGAACTGTGAGAAATAAATTTTTGTTGTTTAAGACACCAGTCTATGGTATTTTTGTTATAATATTCTGAATAGACTAAAACAAGAGGCATCAATAACAGGTTTCATGCAACATGGATGCCTGATATTTGGTTATCATGGAACCATAGATGGCCCTGTGTTCTCTGAAGTGTATAGTCCCCTAATTGAGAACAAGAATTAGAAACCAAGATGCAGTAAACATAACTACTCTTTCCCCTAAAAGGCCTCACCTTCCTGTACCCACACACTTTAAAGCTACATACTCAACAAAATTGATGTTTCTAGAAGCCTCCTCTTATATTATATCATATATCATATTATGTCATGCCATGTGATATCATACAGATGAGGAAGAAGGTCAGCAATAGTATCCTGGGAAAATACATGGATGGATCTCAGAAATCTTCAAGACCTCTGAATTTTTATGCAAATTGTTCTGTCTGTATGAATATCTTCATTTTTATTCATAAGGAAAAATTTCCATAGCTTTTATCAATTTCTCAAAGGGTTTTGAAACACAAAGTGATTAGCAACCAGGAGTCCAAAGGTAATTCAAACCCTCATGAACACATTTGGACATGTCTCAGGTCTTCATTGTTTGGTAGTTTACAACATGGTTTACCAGTTGTCTCTGTCCTCAGGGGTTAGGATGCCCAGGGCTTTTTTTTTTTTTTTCTCTTTCTTTTGCTCCACTTGAATTTCTCTTTCCTCATTTCCTATGTCCCTCTCTAAGCTTCTGTTTATCTGTGTGCAAACACACCTGCTGGCTCAAATTATCACTGAAAAGAAATGTTGGATTTCTCATTCCAGGAGTATTAATGGTAACAGAGCCTATGTGCTTATCTCGTCTGTATCCCAGTAATAGGAAACACCTCCAACAAGGCAGGTTTCCTTTTTAAATAAAGCAATCTCACACTTGTCATATTCATCCCTGACAGAGCGGTTGTCTTCCCCAGCTCCCGGGCCCCTCATCCTCAGGAAGACATTTGATGCCAGGGAGAAGAGGCTCACAGCAGGGGGCAGCCGCTGGAGTCCATGCTTCACACTGGTCCCTTTGTCACCCCGGGTAATTTACAGTAGTTCTCAGAGTACAGTAAGTGGAGGATAAAGCCTTTACCAAGTCTCCTCATAAATGTAGACAGAATGCTCTCCTGTAATAAACTTCCAAAGTCAGGGCACAAAATTGTAGTGTATATCGGAGGTTTTCTTTTTTCTATTTTTTCTGTAGTCTGATTTTTTGTGCAGTGTCTTTTGGAGGCTAGAGTAGTTGTGGACTTTCAGTATAGACCTTTCCCCATTAGTGCAGCAGCACCCACAAGTTGCAAGGCACAGACACCCCTCCTACCTGGTTAATTGTCAAAGAAGCAATTAGCCCTGCATTGAGATACTGCTGTCTAGTTTTCAGGTTCACATCAAATTTTCAGTTGTCGATCATCACAACAACACTATCAGGTTGGCAGAGAAGGTATGATTAGTGTCATGTTACAAAGACATCTTCACAGATGTTAAAGTCACTCCATAAGCTAATATCTAAGAAAGACCAAACCCTGGAAGAGGAATTTCTTTTTTCTTTAATCAAATTTCAGGGCTCATTCCAGTTGCTACACTGTGTCTCAAACATGAAAGTATGAAAATTCAACATTAATGAACCTACAATCACAACTTCACCAGAAGTCTCTCTAGTTCAAGGACAAGAAGGTAGAATCCTCAAGGAGCCCTGGGTGATGTAACTTTAGGATAGTTACATCACCATAACAAACGTTAGACTCCTGTAAGATCTGCCCATTTCTGAAGTCACAAATAGTCAAAATAATTACAAAAGCAATTATATATTCTCCTTTGTATCTCTCAAATAACACAAAAGGGGACCCAAGCAATACTTCTGATGAACCCATGGGCCTCTGCCCCGAAAATCCCAGCACATACAACTTTTCCAAAGTGGCATCCATGTGGTGCTAACAACACCCACGGAGCTCCCCAGCTGCCATTTAACTCCTCTTACCCTCCTCCTTTAGCTCCCACCTCCTAACTTCTTCATGTGTTTATTGACTTAGATTTTCTTACTAACTACTCTGGCTTCTCTCTTAAATATCAACCCAAAGGTAACACAGAGGTCAAAGGGAACAGGAAAAAAATAGAGAAGAGAATTGTATATTCTTTCCAGTAGCCTATGTGTTTATCCTAAGTACCAGTTACATCCCAGGACACACTGAAACAAGGAAAAAAATATCTTTATTGAATGATTAAAACATTCCAGTTATCCCTTGTCTCAGTCCAGAATATTTCTCAATTTTGTATTCCATATTTTATTAAATCATCTGAATCAGACAACTCTATTTAGATTGTGGTGAGGAAGAATTATTTATTGAAATACAAGGGCATTTCTGATTAATCATTTCATGTTTCATGCATACTTGCCTCTTTCTACTCTAATAAAGACAGAAGCACTGTTCAGTCCTCCGTACACCAGGGACCTTGGTTCTCAGCCCTTCACACTCTTCCAGTTCCCCTGCAAATGATTATATGAGAATCCTCAGCTCCTGGGACAATGGTCCTACTGCCCTGATGGAGCAAATTTCTAACTATTAATAAGTTTATTTTGTAACCAAAGTTCATACATTATTCAGATTTCCTCAGTTTTCACCTAATGTACTTTTTCTGTTCTATTGTCTCACCCACGATTCCACAGTACACAGAGCCATCATGTCTCCTGACTTAGGTTCTCTTTGGCTGTGACCGTTTCTCAGTCTTTTTTTGTGACAGCCTTGACAGTGCCTCTATTGAGTCTTTTTTTCTCAATATTTTTTATTATGTTAAAATGCATATAACATAAAGTTTACTATCTTAACCATTTTAAGTATACAGTTTAGTGGTAATAAATGCAATCATAATATTGTGCAACCATCCCCACCATCCCTCTCCATAACTCTTGTCATCTTGTAATATTGAAACTCTGTACACATTAAACAATAACTCTAAACAATGATTCCCTTCTACCTCCAGCTGCTGGAAACCACCAATCTACTTTCTATGTCTATGATTTTGACTATTCTAAGTAAGTACTTTATATAAGTGAAACTGATAGGTTCATTCTTGGGCTTGAACAGGAAAAGGAAAAGAGAAAATGAACTGATGTTAAGACACATAGAGAAAGGCATCCAGGTGTTTAAGTCTTAATAGGAAAAACAAGAAGGACCCTTCAAGCCTTGCCCCTGAGGGAAGAGCTGGAGGTTAAGCTCCTATGCAAGTGGAGAGACAGAGACTTCAGGGCAAAGAGGAAGAGATGGACCAAGAACTACTGTTCTTGGGAATTCACAAAAAAGGGAAAAAATTGAAATGATCAAGAAACATAAAAAAGATGTTCAATTTCTCTGGTAATTAGAGAAATTTAAATTAGAATCACATATAATATTATTCAACATCAGAAAATTGACCAAAAAATTTTGAAGTTTGACAACTTTGAGTACTGATGGTGTAGAGACATGGAGGCATGCATACATTGCTCATAGGAATATAAATTGGTACAACCACTTTAGAAACTATTTGGAGATATTTAGTAAAGTTGAAGACCTAGATACTGTACCACCAGTAACTCCATACCAGCATATATATTCTATAGGAAATATTGAAATTATGTTATAAAGAACAATATGTAAAAATATTCATAGTAACTCCCATTGTAACAGGAACAAAAAAAAAAGTAAGCCCTTGGAAACTATCTAAATGTCAAACAGAAGGATAGATAAATAAATTGATATAGTCACATACTGAAATACCATATATTACAGAAGATAAATGAACAGAGCTAAAAAAATCAACATGAATAAATAACTCTTACAAATCCAGTATTGAGGGAAAAAACAAAGAATATTTTCAATATAATACAATTTACATAAAGTTAAAAAACATGAAAATAAATAGCATATATTCTTTTTTTTTTTTTTTTTTTGAGACGGAGTCTCGCTTTGTCGCCCAGGCTGGAATGCAGTGGCACCATCTCAGCTCACTGCAAGCTCCGCCTCCTGGGTTCACACCATTCCCCGGCCTCGGCCTCCGGAGTAGCTGGGACTACAGGTGGCCACCACCACGCCTGGCTAATTTTTTTTTTTGTATTTTTAGTAGAGATGGGGTTTCACCGTGTTAGCCAGGACAGTCTCAATCTCCTGACCTCAAGATCCACCCACCTCGGCCTCCCAAAGTGCTGGGATTACAGGCATGAGCCACTGCGCCCGACCAAATAGCACATATTCTTTAGGGTACTTACATGGTAGTAACAAAAACAAGTGTGCGTGTGTGAGATATGGTTTTGATGTTTGACCTCTTTAAACCTCATGTTGAAATGTGATTCCCAGTGTTGGGGGTGGGGCCTGGCAGAAAGTGTTTGGGTCACAGGGGCAGATCCCTCATGACTAGCTTGGTGCCCTCCCCTTGGTAATGAGTGAGTTCTTGCTCTGTGAGTTCACACTAGATCTGGTCATTTAAAAAATCCTGGCACCTTTACCCAACTTCAAACTATACTACAAGGCTACAGTAACCAAGCAGCATGGTACTGGTACAAAAAACAGAACACACAGAACAATGGAACAGAATAGAGAGCCCAGAATAATGCCACACACAAGGAACCATCTGATTTTCAACAAAATAGACAAAGACAAGCAATAGGAGAGATTTCTCAAAGAACTTAAAACAGAATTACCATTTGACCCAGAAATCCCATTATTGGGTATACAGCAAAGGGAATATACATTTTCTACCATATATAAAGACACATGCACTGGTATGTTCATTGCAGCACTGTTTATAACAGCAAAGACATAGAATCAATCAAAATGCCCATTAGTGTAGACTGGCTAAAAAAATGTGGTACATGTACACAGTGGAATACTATGCAGCCATAAAAAAGAATGAGGTCATGTCCTTTGCAGCAACACGGATGGAGCTGGAGGCCATTATCCTAAGCAAACTTACACAGGAACAGAAAAACACATGCCACATATTCTCACAAGTGGGAGCTAAACTTTGAGTACATGTGGACACACAAAAAGGAAGAGACACCAGGGCTTACTTGAAGGTGGAGGGTGGGAGGAGAGTGAGGATCAAAAAATTGCCCATTGGGTACTATGCTTATTACCTTGGTGACAAAATAATCTGTACACTGAACCCCCATGACCCACAATTTACCTATATAACAAACCTGCACATGCACCCCTGAACCTAAAATAAAAGTTAATAAAACAAAAAACAATATTGTTAAAAAATAAAACTGACAAAAAGAAAACAAAATAGATCCTGGCACCTTCCCACACTCTCTCTTGCTCCAGCTCCTGCCATGTGACACACCAGCTCCCCCTTCACCTTCTGCCATGATCATAAGCTTCCTGAGGCCTTACCAGAAGCAAATGCCAGCAACTTGCTTCCTGTACAGACTGCAGAAGCATGAGCCAATTAAGATAAACTTAATTTATTTTAAATAACTTTAAAATAAATTTCTCAGTCTCAGTTATTTCTTTACAGTGACACAAAGGGCCCAACAGTGATAACAGTGAATCCATATAATGGGCACATTTTGGAGAGATGACCTTGAAATAATGCAATTGGTGAAGTTTATACAAGAACCTCAAATAATTTGCTACTTCTTATGCTTAATGTGCTTTGCATAGATGTTTATATTTTTTCATACAGTTCTATATCTCTAAAATCTTTCATGATTTTTTATTTTAAAAATCCCATGGCCTTGGCTATATAGATTGACCACAGCTTTACTCCCAGGACTCAGCTCGGTTCTGGAACTTGGGAGGGTGGCCCTGCCACTGGTGGGGGAAAATTAAAGCAACCACTGCCAGTGGAAGCCAGGTGAGAAACTCTAATAGTTAAAGGGATGTGTTCTATTGGTCTACCAAATATAAATGTAATGGAACCCAGGTTCAGCTGCTCCCTACTCAAAAGCCAAATTTGAGACACAAGATTGGTTAGGAGGAAAAGCAGGTTTATTCAGGAGCTGAAAACCCAACAAGATGGCAGGCTGGTGTCACAAAGACCATCTCAAGTTTTTCAGACTGGCTGAAGGGTTTCATGGGAGGGGGAATATAGAGAAACTATGTGCATGACTTGACCATGTATAGGTCAGTATGTCTGGTCTTGATGACTATATTGAGCAATGGACCATCTGGTGGTCTAACTGGTGTGAGCTTGACTGCAACTGGAATACAGATTAACTGCTCAGCATTCTTCCCAGGGTGGAATGTTTCACAACCTTGATTCTATGCTTAGTGTCTCAAGGCCAGTTCCTGGAGTTCTTTAAGCAAAGTACGTAAATTAAGCATTATTAAAAGCCCAGCAGAAGAAGAAGAGGGTAATAAAAGAAAAACAAAGGATAATAATTGTTTTTCAAGACAAGGTTGTAGTTTCTGTTACAAATTTCCCATTGTCAATTTTTCATTCCATTTTTATGGAAAGTGGGGCATCGATACCAGTTTGGCTACTTCCTGCTGGATGGGGGTGTGAATTGGAAATTTTGGCATGAAACCATTTGATCCGGCAGTGAGCTGATGTTCAGGTCCTATTTTTGGTGTGTGTGTGTGTGTGTGTGTGTGTGTGTTTCCAGGTCTTCAGGAGGACCTGCTCTCCCAGTTGAAAAGGATGCAGGGCCACATACATGGATGAGTGGTCCTGCTGGAAGCAAACTAATGAGCAGAAGTCAGTACAGTGCCTAGAGTCTTAACATATCTGGCAATTGCTAAATTTCTAATCATATCAGTTGGCTGTCCCACCTTGGCAGAAACTTGGAATGGCTTACTGCATGATACTTTAAAGGGACTCAATTTGTGTCTATTTTGGGGGAGCCATTTTAATTTACAACAGGACAACCGGCAACACTTTATCTCAATAAGTTTTTTGTTTTTTGACATATTTTCGTAATGCTTTTATTTATTTTTCCTAGAGTAGGGTTTACCTTTTTCATTTTTTCTGTTGATTGTTGTCTCCAAGATGACAATTTAAAAGTTGCAGGAAGAGGCATGCCACAGGTTTTATTTGGCATTCCTGCAACCATCATAGTCTTTTTAAAATCAGGTGATAGATGGGTGTTAACTATAAAATATGTGGCTCCATATAAATAATAGTGATTTGTTCCCCACTATCAGTTGTACCCATGCCTCTTGTGGGGATATGATGACAGATTGGCTAAACATACGTATTCAACAGGTTATAGGAGGAGCTGTGAATATTCAGGAAGATGGTACTGACACATGTGTATTGAACAAACACATGTAACATACAACCAATGTTCACTTTGGGTTGTAGACTTAACATTTAAATGTATTACAATTAGATCCTATAGATCAAAAGATTTTTTTTTAGGACACAAATGCATGTAAGTGCTAAATCTCTGTAAACTGTCCAGAACTAGTCTGTGGTTGGTCTTTTTATTAGGGGAAAGTTACTGAAATCAGTCTCCTGTATAATTAAGGCTGTAGTTCTGGCTAGTAGAACAGAGGCTGAAGGTCAGTTAGTCAGCATCCGGCGGAGCTGCAAGTTGTTTTCATGTTGCTTACCTCAAAGCCAGTGCTTGCTTAGCTGCTAGAGAAAAAGAAAACACCTATGGCAGTTAGAACATAGTTTACTTTTTAAGGGTAGCGGTGTGTGACTTAACCTTTACCTGGCATGGCCTTAGGGCCTGTTTATAATCTTTTATCTTATTTCCACAGAGTCTGTTCTGTCAGTTTTATGAGCTCTGTTTTAACATTCATGCCAATCGGTTGTTGTGTCCAAACCATAAAATGAAGGGGATACAATGAGGTATGTCTGACCTCCCATCCTGTCATGATTGGGAACTACATTTTAAGGCTTTTATTTCTGAGGTTCTGTTGGCCAAGGAGGGGTTCATCCAGTCAGTGGAGAACTGAAGATTTTATTTTATTTTTCAACTGTTATTTTAGATTTAACAGGTACATGTGCACATTTGTTACATGGGTATATTGTATGATGCTGAGGTTTGGAGTATGGATCTCATCACCCAGGTAGCGAGCATAGTGCCCAACAGGTAGTTTTTCAACCCTTGCCTCCTCCCCTCTTTCCCTGCTCTAGTACTCCCTTGTGTCTATTGTTCCCATCTTTATGTCCATGCTTACTCAGTGTATTAGTCAGGGTTCTCTAGAGGAACAGAACTAATGGAATATATATATGTGTATATATCTTTACATATACAAATATATAAAATTGTATAATATATATTTGGCATATAATACGTAAAATTATATATATATATATATATATAATATATATATGGGAGTTTTTTAAGTATTAACTCACATGATCACAAGGTCCCTTGCTCAGGATCAAGGAGAGACAGTCCAACTTCCAAAACTGAAGAACTTGGAGTCCAATGTTTGAGGGCAGGAAGCGTCCAGCATGGGAGAAAGATGTAGGATGGGAGGCTAGATGAGTCTCTCCTTTCACATTTTTCTGCCTGTTTATATTCTAGCCAGGCTGGCAGCTGATTAGATGGTGCCCACCCAGATTAAGAGTGGGTCTGCCTTTCCCAGACCACTGACTCAAATGTTAATCTCCTTTGGCAACACTCTCACAGACACACCCAGAATCAATAGTTTGTATCCTTCAATCCAATCAAGTTGACACTCAGTATTAACCATCACAAGTCCACCCCTTGTCAAGTTGAACCCATATACAACTCCTGAGATCATACATAATCTTCAAATAAAGACAATAATAAGGTCATAATTATACCTAACATAATACAACTATCCTTCGTACAACCAGAAATGCACCAATCCCCAACCCAAGTACTATTACATAAAGTTAACGGTACTTAAATGCTGATTTGAAGTCAATAAATCATCTTATGTCACATGATAAAGGAGAAAGAAAATAAAATGAAAATATTTTCTTAGTACAAGTGTATACATGCACAAACATGTTTTTAACACAAGAAGGAGGAAATAAGATAATTACAGTCCTCATTTCTGCAGCTGGTCACGTGGTCATAGCTGGTATTGATGACTACCTTCTTCTACCCATTCTGTATTCCCTTTGCCTTCAGCAAGCACCTCAGCAGGTTGTGGTTATTTTCCTGGTGGAGTGACCCAAAACTTCATTCTTGAAGGGTCTGAGCCATTTGTAGTCCTCTCTGGATTGGGCTGTTGTAGTCTCCCATTGACCTTAATCACAGGGCATGGTAATACTAACAGATGCGCTAATGAATCTCCTGTATTCTATGCATACTCTTCCTTACCTCTATTGTGGAGCAGTAGACTGATTTCATCTTCATAGACCGGGTCAATTACCCCTTCCAACACTGTAACTCCCTTCTTAGCCTGTGGACATAGAGGTAGAAAGAGCCCAAAGTGGCCAGGTGACAATCTTAACTTCCAATTTAATGGAATCCTTGTTGTGTCTCCTGGTGGTAGCGTTCCTCCTGCTGGAACTAAGACCTCTAGGCCAGCAGAAACAAATGTCATAGGAACAGGAAGAAAAAATTTTGCTAGTGGATGACTAGGGGTGATGGTGAATGGTGCCACTTCCACTTCCACCCCTTGATTCCTGGACCTCTGAATCCTGGCTATGGGAGAAAAAATACCATATATTGGACTCATTGAAGGCTTACATAGCCTTCTGGAGAACTTTGTCCCAATCCTGCAAAGTATTGTCACCTGGTTGGTGTTGTAAATGAGACTTCAAAAGGCCATTCCACCGTTCTATCAATCCAACTGCTTCAGGATGACAGGGAACATGGTAAGACCAGTGAATTCCTTGAGCATGAGCCCACTGCCACACTTCTTTAGCCACAAAGTAAGTGCCTTGATCAGAGGCAATGCTGTGTGGAATACAATGATGGGGGGTAAGGCATTCTGTTAGTCCATGGATGCTAATCTTGGCAGAAGCATTGTGTGCAGGATAGGCAAACCCATATCTGGAGTAAGTGTCTCTTCCAGTGAGGACAAACCTCTGCTCTTTCCATGATGGAAGAGGTCCAATATAATCAAGCTGCCACAAAGTAGCTGGCTGATCACCCTGAGGAACGGTGCTATATCCAGGGCTCAATGTTGGTCTCTGCTGCTGGAAAATTGGGCACTCAGCAGTGGCCGTAGCCAGTTCAGCCTTGGTGGGTGGAAGCCCATGTTGCTGAGCCCATGCATAACCTTCATCCCTGCCACCATGGCCGCTTTGTTCATGATCCCATTGGGGGATGACAGGGGTGGCTGGGGAAAGAGGTTGAGTGATGTCCACAGAATGGATCATCCCATTCCCTTGATTATTAAACACCTCCTCTGCTAAGGTCACCCGTTGGTGAGCACTCACATGGGATACAAATATCTTCACAGTTTTTGACCACTCAGGATGGTTCATCCACATACCTCTTCTCCAAATTTCTTCTTCACCAATTTTCTAATCATGCTTCTTCCAAGTCCCTGACCATCCAACCAAACCATTGGCTTCAGTCCATGAATCAGTATATAATAGCACATCTGGCCATTTTTCCTTCCATGCAAACTGCACAACAAGGTACACTGCTCAAAGTTCTGCCCACTGGGAAAACTTCCCTTCACTGCTGTCCTTCAGGGATGTTCTAGAAAGGGGCTGTAGAGCTGCAGCTGTCCACTTTCAGGTGGTGCCTATATATTGTGCAGAACCATCAGTGAACCAGGCCCTAGTCTTCTCTACTTTTGTTAAACAATCATACAGAGCTCCCCATGAGGCCATCAAAGCAGGCTGGTGGAGAGAAGGCAGGGTGGCAAAAGTGAAGACCATGGGCATTTTAGCCACTTCCTTATGTAACTTACTTGTGCCTTCAGGATCTTCTAGAGCCTGATCATATATACACCACTTCCATTTGATGATGGAATGCTGCTGTGCATGACCCACTTAATGGACCAATGGGTTAGAAAGCACCCAGTTCGTGATAGAGAATTCAGGTCACATGGTAACTCGATGACCCCTAGTCAAACGTTCAGTTTCCAACAAAGTGCAGTAACAGGCCAAGAGCTATCTCTCAAAAGGAGAATAGTTATCTGCAAATATGGTGGGGCCTTGCTTCAAAATCCTAGAGGCCTCTACTGTGTTTCACCTATCAGGGCCTGCCAAAGGCCCCAAACAGTATCCCTATCTGCCACTGACACCTCAAGCACCATTGGATCTGCTGAGTCATATGGCCTAAGTGGCAGAGCAGCTTGCACAGCAGTCTGGACCTGTTGCAGAGCTTTATCCTGTTCTGGACCCCATCCAAAACTGGCAGCCTTCCAGGTCACTCAATAAATGGGCCAGGTATCTCATCAAAATGAGGAATGTGTTCCCTCCCAAATCCAAATAGGTTCACTAGGCATTGTACCTCCTTCGTGGTTGTAAAAGGGGCCAAATGCAACAACTTATTCTTCATCTTAGAAGGAATATCTTGACAGGCCCCACATCACTGGATGCCTAGAAATTTTACTGAAGTAGAAGGTCCCTGAATTTTAGTTGGATTTATTTCCCATCCTCTGGCATGCAAATGTCTCTCCAATAAGTCCAATGTATTTGCTCTTGCTCACTGGATCCAATCAGCATAATGTCATCAATGTAATGGACCAGTGTAATATCCTGTGGAAGTAAAATGCAATCAAGTTCTCTCCAAATAAGATTATGACACAAAGCCGGAGAGTGGATATATCTTTGAGGTAGGAAAGTAAAAGTATATTGCTGGCCTTGCCAGCTGAAGGCAAATTCCTGCTAGTGGGCTTTATGGACAGGAATGGAAAAAAAGGCATTTGCAAGTCAATGGCTGCATACCAGGTACCAGGAAATGTGTTTAAAAAGAAATGAAACCATATCTGGTACATCTGTCTTCTGCACAGACCAAATGGGAGAGTTGAACAGTATTGTGGTGGGAATCACCACCCCTGCACCTTTCAAGTCCTTGATAGTGGCACTAATCTCTGCAATCCCTCCAGAGATGTGACATTATTTTACATTTACTATTTTTCTAGGTAGAGGAAGATCTAATGGCCTCCATTTGGCCTTTCCCACCATTGTAACCCTCACCCTACCAGTCAAGGAGCCAACGTGGGGTTTCTGCCAGCCACTAAGTATGTTTATGACAATTATGCATTCTGGCACTGGGGCAATGACCATAGGATGAGTTAGGGGACCCACTGGACCCACTGTAAGCTGGACCTGGGCTAAAACTCCATTAATTATCTGACCTCCATAAGACCCCACTTTAACTGCAGGACCACAGTGATGTTTTGGGTCCCCTGGAATCAACATCAGCTCAGAGCCAATTTCCAGTAGTTTTTGAAATGTCTGATCATTTCCCTTTCCCCATTGCTCAATTACTCCAGTAAATCTCCTTGGGAGATCTCCTTGGGAAAGGATGGGAGAAAGGTTCATTGCATAAATTTTCTGTAGTGTAGTGAGGTCCTTTCTCAAGGAGACCTGGCCTCCCCTTCATTCAACGGGTTCTGGCTCTGTAAACTGGCTCAAGTCTGGAAATTGATTGAGGGGCCATGATTCTCTGTTTTTACAATTCAAATTAGTCTTTTGTCCATTCAACCTAGAAGTTTTCTGCTTGTATAAATTAAGTAAGAATGGAGTAAGCTTCCTATCAATTTCACTTCTAGGAACACCATGATTAATTAGCCAGTGCCAGAGCTCTACATGAGTCAGGCTATTCTGAACGCTGCTTTGCCTCTGCTGTCCATTATGGTAGCTGCGCTTACCCTGCTTTTCATGGTTGAGTACTTCCACTTGGCCCCTGCCACCTCAGGATCCAATTATTCCCATTGTATTCAAATTTTGTAGTTGAGTGACTGCAGTTCCCACTGTTAGATCTGACACACAAAAAAGAGCAATTACAGGGCTATTCAAAGATGCAGATGCTGCCCTCACAAATCTATTTTGCAAGGCATTGGCCAAGGGTATATCTTCTGGACCCTCCCAGCTGGGATGAGTAGCTCTAAAGAGAGTAATCCACTCCACCATCCCAGTCTCCCTAAGCCTTTGAATCCCTTCCCTACATTAAACCAACAGAGATCAGCCATTTCCAGTTCACTCACAATGGGCCATCTTTTAATCCACATTTTAGCTAACCAAGAAAATAAACTATAGAATGTTTTTTAACTCCCCAAGCTGAAACATTAAATGTAAAGTCCCTACTTAGTGGGCCCAAATCAATAAATTCAGCCTGATCCAACTTTATGTTTCTTCCACCATTATCCCACACCCTTAATATCCATTCTCATCTGGAGAAATCTGTTCTCTAGATTTCTGTTTATATAAATTAGGAAACTCAAGTGGTTCTTTTTGAGTGTAGTGCACTTCCTCATGGGTCACACTGTCAACCTCACCTCTAGGGGTCTGCCAGGACTTTAGTCTAGTTATAGGTCTAAAAGCAAACAGGGGTGTTGGGGGTGACTCCTGAGGAAAATCAACATTATCTTGCCTTGCAACTACCTCAGTGGAGGCCATCACCATTGCCTCAGGCAGCACAGAGTTTATCTCCTCAGACAAAGGTGGAAAAGCTGATGGCAGTATGGGTTGGGGAGGGGATGTTGCCACTACTGGGGATGGGGAAGCTGTTTCTTCTGGCAATGAAGACTCATCAGAGTTTGCAGAGTTAGTGTCCCAAGCTTCTTCAGGGTCCTCCTACACATTCCCATTCCAAGTTGCAAGGTCCCATTCTTTTCTAATCACTGCCCTCACTTTAACAGTAGACACCTGGAGAGGCTGTGCATGCACCTTTTGTTGCAGATCAACCACTTGCATGATAAGAGCTTGTGTCTTTCAACCACTCACATGATAAGAGCCAGTGTCTGTTCAATTTCATCTCTTTCTCTACAGATGAGACTCTTACTCAGGGCAATCTAATCAGATTTGAGGCTCAGTATTTGTTTCTGAAGCTGGGTAATAGAATCCCCGAGTTCATCATTTTCTTTCATCACTTTGTCCACTGAACTTAGGAGCAACCAACCAGCTTCATTATGTTCCCTGGTTCTCCACATATGGTCAAAGTTATTATGTTACTAAACTCCTTGCCTCTTATGAGCAATAAATCAGTAGTGTCAAAGGCTTTTATTTTGCATAACTCTCTAAACAGTTCACACCAAGGACTATCAGTGTTCTCCATACTATTAAAGGTAGAGTCCTTAGCATTTTTGGGTGTAATCACATTAAGCAGCCAACTCCAGAAACCCTAAAACCAATGAAAGAACTACATTTTTAATATTCAATTCCTCTAGAACCACTCCTGGTACCAAAATCTGTATTAGTCAAGGTTCTCTAGAGGGACAGAAGAAATGAAATATATATATAAATATATATATACAGGGGAGTTTATTAATTGCTCACACGATCACAAGGTCCTACAATAGGCTGTCTACAGGCTGAGGAGAAAGGAGAGCTAGTCAAAGCTCCAAAACTGAAGAACCTGAAGTCTGATTTTCAAGGGCAAGGAAGCATCCAGCATAGGAGAAAGATGTAGGCTGGTAGGCTAGGCCAGTTTCTCCTTTCACATTTGTCTGCCTGCTTATATTCTAGCCATGCTGGCAGCTGATTAGATTAGGCCCACCCAGATTAAGGGTGGATCTGCCTTTCCCAGCACACTGATTCCAATGTTAATCTCCTTTGGCATACACACCTAAGATCAATACTTTGTATCCCTCAATGCAATCAAGTTGACACTGAGTACTAACCATCACACTCAGTGTTTAACTGCCACTTATAAGTGAAAACATGCAATATTTGGTTTTCTGTTCCTGCATTAAGTCACTTAGAATAATGTTTTATAGCTGCATCCATGCTGTGAAGGACATGATTTTATTCTTTTTTATAGCTGTTTAGTATTCCAAAGTGTATATGTACCACATTTCTTTATCCAATCCACCATTGATGGGCACTTAGGTTGATTTCATGTCTTTTTTATTGGGAATAGTGCCACCATGATCATACAAGTGCATATGTCTTTTTGGCATAACAATTTAATTTCCTTGGGGTATCCAGCCAGCAATGAGATTGCTGGTTTGAATGGTAATTCTGTTTTAAGTTCTTTGAGAAACCTCCAAACTACTTTCCACAGTGACTGAACTAATTTACATTCCCACCAACAATATATAAGTGTTCACTTTTCTCTACAGCTTTGCCAGCATCTGTTATTTCTTGACTTTTTAATAATAGCCATTTTGATTGGTGTGAGATTGTATCTCATTGTGGTTTTAATCTGAATTTCTCTGATAATTAGTGATGATGAGCATTGTTTCATATGTTTGTTGGCCACATATATGTCTTCTTTTGAGAAGTGTCTTTTCATGACCTTTGCCCATTTTTAATGGGGTTGTTTTTGCTTGTAAATTTAAGTTTCTTATACATTCTGGATATTATAATCTTTGATGGATGCATAGTTTGCAAATACTTTCTTTTGTTCTGTAGTTTTTGTTTATATTTTCCTTTTTTTTTGTCAACAAATGATGCCCAAGCTCTTATTTTGTCCTATATTGATGTGAGAGTGGGGTGACTACCTTCCCCTGATCTATCACATTCTTCTGTGGGACTCCTATGGCCAAGGGATTTAGAGTTTAAAGACTTACAGCCAATTAATTATTCCAGGCTAGATGGGAACAAAAGTGGACTTTAATCCTCAAAACCCTTTTAAGTAACATAAGAGCCAAAAACCAACAGCCAAAAAAGGAAAGTTAAAATATTGACTTGTCTATAAGTTTTATGTGTTGAGCCATCAGCTGTTTAGGCATCTGTGTACCATTTCTGAATTGGAGGGTCTAAATTAATTTTATCTTTCAAAACTGTCCCTGGGTCTGGAGGGATTGAATAGTTTCAAATTTTGGAGATAAAACAAAATATGAAGAATTAGCAACATTTCAAACAAAAAATAAAAGGTTATAAGCCCTGCCTAGTTCTAAGAATGACAGGAAGAGGAAGCTCATAGGTAGCTAAACATTCAAATTATCTGGTATCAAGGATTCAGATGGAGACAAAATTATTAAATGAGTTTTAATGTCTTTTATTATAGGCCTGTCCCCACGTTTTGTGAAAGCAATTTACTTTGAATGTTGCCTTTTTCTAGATCTGGAGACAAGGCTTTGGTTACTTTGAGTTTGGTGTCAGATAATGACATCACATTCAAGATTTGGCAGCAGATGGTGCCTTTTTAGATGAGACGTGTATATTGAGGTTTCAAAAGCCTGTAACTTAATAGCACAGGATTAGTTAATAGCACCTGGTAAGGACCTTTTCAAGGGACTGAAGGTGGTGATACTGGGGTCAATGTTCCATTTGGAAGTTGTAAAACAATTCTATAACTTTGCAGTGATTAATTTTTATGGTTTTGATAAGTCCCCAGTGTAAGTCTAGGTCAGAAATTTAGGTTAGAATTTTGATTTTGATGGTGTTTATCAAAGATGTTAAAAGGCTCAAAATATTTGATCAAATCACAAGTTATTATAAATTTTTATATATATAAATATTATAAATAGTAGTCATTCATTTAATCAATAGTGATAATTTTAAAACCTCAAAGGCAAAATAGAAAGTTATATGGATGTAAGAATCTTAATTTTTTAAATTCCAGTCCTCCTAAGTAATAAAAAAATTGAATAAAGACAACATGGAAATTTTCTTGATAAAATGTAAAATCTTTTCTCTTAAGCCAGTTACCAAAAAAGGCAACAAAAAACCTTCTGCACTGTGATTGCTTCTCCTTTTGGGAAGCCCATTTAGATAACCTGGAAGGCAAACCTGATGAAAAAAAGTACTTGAATTTAATCAGGCACAAGAAGAGTGTGTTCAAAGTTATAATTATAGCAGGGGAATACATAACTCTTAGTAACAGTGTGAGAAGTTTCCTGATTACATTTAAAAATTACATATATCAAGAAAAGTCAAAAATACAGAATCAAGTTATACTAGAGGAAAACATTGCTCTTCTAGACTTTTAAGATAAAACCTTTCAGCATCAGGCCACAACAATAGTTAGAACTAGAGGAAAAAAATTACAGGAGTTGGTAAAAAAGTTGAAGGAGAGAGTTACCATCTTGGGCACCTCTAGGGAGAAAAAGTTGAAAGCAGTGAGACACAGCAAAAATTGATCTTCTGAGATATGAATCTGAGAAGTTTAAAAAAAAACAGTTTACAGAATTATAAATTAAAACTTCTTATAGTTTCATTAACAATAAATCAATGCCTTAAGAAAACCTTGTTTTAACATAGTGACCAATCTTAGAAAGACTATAATAGTCTTTCTAGAATTATAAATAATTCTCTTTTTGTTATAGCCAAGTTTATCACATACAAATATTTTTTTAAAAAACTATCTTTCCACAAACCTTATCCTGACTTACTCAGACTATCTACAACATGCTTGAACTTTCTTATTTGCCATACACTTACCTCTTTTCTAAATAACCAGTTATTTTATTTTAGGACAAAAATTTAACATATAAGATTCTTTCTCATACAAAATTATTCTATTTAAAAAAACCTTCTTTACCAAAACTGCATCTTCATATAAACAATTTTCTTCACATCTCTCTTTTGTACTTACTATTTATCTTTTATCTTCTTTCACACATTATTTCAGAATAACATCCAAGTTACATAAAGTGATTTTTTTCTCAATAAGAACAGAACTTACAGAATTATACACTAACTGGAATTCTTATTCTTAGTAATTTTAAATTTTTGTGAAAACCTAGGAAGCAAGAAATCCTAAACTATCAGATGTTTCAGATGTTTGCATTTTATAGATGAAACAACTCCATAATTTTTGTAAATATATTTTTCCATATCATAACTGTCTTAATTGGACATGACCCAGACATCCAATGAGCACCTATTATTCAGTTTAAAATATTTAAAAAATTTTAAATTACATAAAAAGTTCACCTACAAGCATTTATCTCATTTTCATGTACCCCAATTCTTTCATTTTTAACAGTTTATAAAAATTACTTCTGAAAACTGAGATATTAGGCAAAACTAGTCATCATTTAAAGTAATTTCCCTAGTATCCATTTTTAAAGTCTGTGAACATCAAGGGTTCATCTAAGAACCTTAAAGTTAAATATGTGGACATTTTAACAATAGTTCAGAATATTCAGCTGTTGTCACTGAACCAACAAACTTAAATTACTATTTTTTTCAAGAAAAATCACACAAACAAAGATTATTATGTTTTTAGTTGGGTTTATAGCCTTAAACTTTTGTATCAAACCCTGATACCTTAAAATATGTAGCAGAGGCAAACATAAAACTTATCTAACCAGTAAACTCAGACAAAAAATGTATGCCAACAATTCTAAAGACATTTCTATTTTTATTTTACCAATAATTTTAAATCAAGTTTATTTATCAAAGATTACTAAATTCATGTGAACTTGAAAAGCATTTGGACTTAATTTATGAGTACTCATTTACTTATAAGCCAGTTTGGTAGTATGCTACACATAACACATAACATAATACATGTACATACACAAAAACACATCTAAACATGTATACACACCCCCAAACAAAAATCCAATAGCTTTTACCTTGGAACTCTATCCATAGGACAGCATCATGAACTCACCAGCCTACAAAAGATAGCTAAATTCAATTATGTCTCCGACCAAATTGGAACCTGTTTCCTTGGTTAATTTTGTTTGCCCCAATAGGTAATCCAATAAAAGTTGTGGACCAAAATTTGGGGTAAAGCAGTTTTCATGGCAGTATAAACAAAAACAAAAACAAAAAAAAATCTCTTTTACTCTTTTCTTCCCTTCAGTTTCAAATGAGTTTCCAATGTTTACATTTTAGATAGAACTGTTGGAACTGTATAAGAAAAACAAAATCTCCAAATAACCTTGATTACTAGTACCATAAAGAGGTTATCTCAACACCAGTAGCTTAATAACAGCAGATCCAGATCAGGCAGAAAAAGAAAGTGAGAAATAAACAGACAGCTTTAGATGACTCTACTTAGCTCTGTAGTTGCAAGTTAACCATTTGAGCTCTGAATTTTCCTTACTGTAATTTGGCCATTATTATTAAACTGTGCACGAAAATGGGCCATAATAAGTAACCGAGTTTCAGAAAATCTGGTGTGCCTTTGAACTTTTCCAGGGCCCACAAAGACAATTGACAGACAAATGCAAATGAACCAACTCTCAAATGACATAAAAGTCCAACAACTATTTTGCTTTCTAACAGGGCACCCCAACCAAACACAAAAACACAATGGTTTATTCCGATGAAAAGCCTAAACAGAGGGAAAAAAAGTTACCAGTTGTACATGGCAAAATTACTTACTCCATCTTGAAGCCCATCAACTCCCCAGATACTGCTTTTTCTTGTATCAACTAAGTGTTGGAGGCAGCTGATGCTACAAAGTGGAGAGGAGGGAAAATCCCTGAGACAGTTCTTGGCAGCTGGTGGAACATCCTTGGAATCCCAGCCATGAGGTCAGCTAGTCATGAGCAGCTGGCACTCACAAGCAATTATTGCTCTGTCTATAGTGTGAATGGGTAAGCCCTGGTGCAATGCTGCAGTCAATTGCTCTGACTGTTGGAAAGCAGGCAGGCTAGACCACATAGGGCTCACAGCCCCATGTTGGGTACCATAAATTATAACCAAACCCAGGCTCAGCTGTTTGCTGCTTGCAAGCCAAACTCAAGAAACGAGTTAGTAAGAGGAAAAGCAAGTATATTCAAGAGTCACCAACTTGAGGAGATGGATGACAGTGTCACAGAGACCATCTGAAGTTTTTCAGGCTAGCCAGAGGGTTTTTATGGGAATGGGGATGTGGAGAAACTATGTGCAGGGGTCGACTACATGCAGGTCAATATATCTGGTCTTAATGACCATGTTGAGCAAATGGCTATCTGTTGGTCTGGTGATGTCAGCTTGGTTGCAACAGAAATACAGATTAACTTCTCAGCACTCTTCCTGGGGTGGGATAGCCTTGACTCTATGCTTAGCTTTTCAAGACCAATTTCTGAAGTTCGTTAAGGAAAGCACATGAATCAAGTTAACCATTATTAAAGCATTAGTAAAAGCTCAGCATAGAAAGGAGAAGGAAAAAAAGAAAAACAAAGAAGAATAATTGTTTTTCAAGATTGGGTGGTAGTTTCTGTTACATAAGGTCAGCAATTCCTCCTAACAGAATGAGAAAGTCATAATAGTAAAAGGAAAAGAAGACAAGGCACTCTGTGATTTAATGCCATTTCTGAAATCTCTGCAACTCTCCTATAAAAGAGGGAGTCATTCTAACATAAAAACAAGTTTTCTGTGCAGGTGTTTGGGTTCAGTTTGCCACTTAGGCCCTGATGATGGGGCTCAAACCTAGGAAACAGTGTTTGATTCTCCTGGCTGAAAGGTCCAGCTCTCCTTGTCAAGGGAATGGGGAGTAGGAGGGGTAGGAGCACCAGTCTCCAGACGAACAACTTAGAAGTATTCATTTCTCCACTGCTACCCCTGCTGAAGAGAATTGTTAATTGCTTTCTGAGGCATTATTTATTCTGAAACACAGGTCACGTCCTGAGAGCCCAGGACAGGATTCTTTCATATTGAACAAGCTGTTCTGCCAGGTGTGAGGTTCTCACCTGGGAATGAGCTACCACATCTACAACAAAAATAAAAACTGGATGAAGAACATGCATAGGGAATTATGTTAGGGAAGAGGGTGAAGTAAGAGAAGTGGGGTATGGTGGGGAAATCCAGAGTTGAAGACACTGGTAGATCGTCAAGAGGCACACATGGAAATGAAGGCAGCAAATCATGGAAGGCCATGCATGGCCACGACAGGCCAAGATAAGGAATCTGAACTTTGTCGTATGGGCAGTGCTAGGTGTAGGGGCCTGCAAACTGTGATTAACAGGCACTGTGATGAGCCAGAACTTAGAAAGATCTCTCTCTGCTGCATCTTTTGTGTCTTTTCCTATGCAATTCATTTCCTCTTAATTTGCTTTTACATACCTCGTTAGACATAACCATAGAGCAAGTGAGCAAACCCTAGGAGTCTTCAGAGACAGCAGTCACTTAACACCCAGCCAGCAGGTTGAGGAAGCAGCTATCAGGAAAGAAAGCAAATTCACTTTCCTACAAAGGGGCATATCCATCTCGGCAGCCAAAGAGTTGGATACAGTTGGGAAAAATGACTTCTAACTATAGGGGGTGTTGATCTGCAATGAAATGAACCACCATGTCATTGGAGGTTTTCCAATCCTGGCTAATTTGCTAAATTCTCTAAAGGATGTGGAAGATGCCAAGTGAAGAAGCAACCCGACCTTCTGTTTTCTTAGGCTTTCAAAGAAGAGAGCACCTTCTAGTAGCTGAGACTTTATATCTGCCATGCTGATTTATGCCATTGTATCCTGGAGACAGCATTCCCTCCCAGCAATGATGGAGGAACCGAGGAGGGAAAGAAAACACAGAAACTGAAACTTTAAGTATTTAAATCAACATCTTGATATAAATTTCTTAAGGAGACATTGAATATCTTCTTGCCTCATCTTTGGTTAGAAACAGGAATAGAATTCCTGTTAGGTTTGGGGTTTTAGGGGTGATAATAGTAAAATGGTCTTCAAATTCTTAACTGTAAGCTTTGACTGGTTTTGCCTGATTGCTGGCTTTGAATGAACCTCACAATCAAGGACCGCTATGACACAGAAGAGTATAAATTTGGCACAAACTACATGGGTTTGCCATGTGGTTCTTTCATTCTCTAATTCTGTAATCCTGTACAAACCATTTAACCTACTTAAAACTCAGTTTACTCATTCTACGAATGGGGAAAGTAATAATGTCTCCCTCTTTAGGACTGAAGAGAGACAATACACATAAAGCACTGAGTATTTAGTATCTCCAAACACACCCATTATCCAAACCATTAGTGATCTCTCTCTCTCTCTCTGTGTGTGTGTGTGTGTGTGTGTGTGTGTGTGTGTGTGTGTTCAGAGTGAGAAAGACAAATGACTCCATTTCATACCACAGAGAAGACTATTTAATAACACCTGCTGGCAGACATATCTGTTCTGTATCAAATTCTCCTGTGGATACTTGTGTTTTCTATTCTAGCTACTGAAACTTCCATTCTTGCAAACTAATTTTTATGCAGCTTTGAGCCTTCATGCTGTTGACTTCACTGTTCTTCCTCACCCCTTTCTTATTTCAATAAACTGAGCTCTGTCCCAGCTCCCTCAATCCATAGAGCCCATACTCATGGCTTCCATCAACTTCCATAGAAAGAAACTAAAATAACACATCCTTGTCTTGTTTTTATTTTTTTTATCCTACTAGTAAGCTGTTAAAATTTGCACGTTGGCCAGCTGCCTCATTTAATGTTTTGCTTTCAACCACCTGTCACCTATTTAATTTTAAGCACTTACTGTTTACCACTATTTGATTTTTAGTAATTTAGCTTTTAAAAAAATGTTATTGTCATTATCTCGCCATTATCTCATTTTCTTTGTGGTTTAATATTTTGACATTTCACAACACTTCACTATACTATTGACTTTAAAACATGTTTTATTTTTCTTCTGCATGTTTTCTTTCATTTCCTCTACTGAAAGTATTGATTATTACCTGAATCAGGGCTTCCAGAACTAGCATAGAAGCAAACAGTAATTTTTGTTGTTTTTCCAGTTTTGTTTTTAATTTTTTCTCTCTTAAATGCATTTTTGGCATTTTGGGTTTGTTTGTTTCTTTGTTTGTTTGTTTGTTTGAGCAACTGTGACACAGAAATAAAGTGTAAAAGTTGAATTTGTCCTTATTCATTATCAGTATGAAAAGCAAATATCTAGCATGTTTATTATCCAAACCTGTGAGCTCTGGGCATTTTGGAATGCTGTTCACTTTCAGTTAACTTTATCAATCAACATAAATGTAATTCTCAACATCTTTTCTATATATTTTTTAAGTTTAACTAATCATTCTCCTTTATGTGATTTCATAATTTTAGTACTTTTCAGCATGTTTTTCATTAATATATTTTTAGTCTTTTCTTTACATTTGTCAGTAACTTTTAAAAACTTTTTACAAGAACTTAATTTTCACTTTGTGAAAATATTTAACATTCTCTTTGTGTAAATATTTCTCCCTTTATTTCTGTTTTGGTTTAACTCTTTATTCTTTTAAATCTTTAAATCTTTAGATTTAGTCTGGTTTTGTCTTACTTGTTCTTTTTCTATTTAAAATTTTAATACGTACTTACTTATATCTGCCTTTGCATGTTATTTCTACATTATATGTTTGTGCACTTATGTCATTTTATTCATTTGTATATCAGTAACTTGAAAGAGATTAAAATTCCTACATACCTAAAATATTATATTTTTATATACAGCATGTGTTTTATATATTTGTATATATAGGCATAGTATAAAATATATATTTTATGTATGAAATATAATATGCTAAAATATATTAGCTCTTCACTCATTCCCTCTGACCATACAAAATCTATGCTAATGTGTTTACTTTTAATTTTATACCTTATTTATTGTGTTATTTTATTTTATTTTATTTTTTATTTTTTTGAGACAGAGTCTCGCTCTGTTGCCCAGGCTGGAATGCAGTGGCACGCTCGGCTCACTGCAACCTCCACTTCCTAGGTTCAAGTGATTCTCCTGCCTCAGCCCCCTGAGTAGCTGGGATTACAAGTGCACCACACCTGGCTAGTTTTTGTATTTTTAGTAGAGACAGGGTTTCACCATGTTAGCCAGGCTGGTCTCAAATTCCTCATCTCAAGTCCTCAGCCTCCTAAAGTGCTGAGATTACAGACATGAGCCACTGAACCCGGCCTATTGCAGTATTTTAAATTTATACTTAATTTTATTTTTATTATATTCTACATCTGCATATATTTTTCATTAAAAGGATCTAATGATTACATATATTGGTATACTTATAATACAAGTTGTATAAAGATAAGAATAATATATGGGCTATGGGCTATCTGCTCAGATAATCTCTGTTGACATATACTCATGCATTGCATATAATATCACAAAAATCAGTATGGAAAATTAGGGAAATAAAACCAAAGCTGTCCTTTGTCTGTCTCCTCCCCTCTTGCAAAAGCCTACCACTCTTATATCCCCTAAAATCATATTAATATTCGTTTTATATCATTCTAGATTGCACAAATGCAAATATAAAGACAAAGAGAGAATTTACTTGAATGCAATAGTAAAAATTATGCTTATATGAAACCAAAGGGCTCTCCAAGCTTCAAAAAAATATTTCTTCCCTAGAAAGACATTATTTTATAAAAGCTTCCTTTTTGGTTTAAGAAGTGATATGGACAAAAACGAAGAAGCTGAAATCATTGCTTGTTTGTTAAGATCATGTTTAAATTTGGGATAATAGCATTTGTTTTCCTTCTATGAAAGTCAGAGAAATTAGTCTTTGTATACTTTTCCCAAAGTTTCTTCCAAGTTCTATGCCTTATATTATTAGTTTGATTTTGTAATGGCTTATAACACTTCTCTTCAATGGCTTTTATTCTCATAGATAGCTAGCTCTGGACTCTTATTGGGTTTGAGTCAATGCTTCTCGTGCTTTTTTAGGCTACAATTCTTTAGTTCCTTCACTTTTATTTCTCTACAAATTGACTGGGATCCAAGCTTTTGTCTTAATTTATTTTACTTAAAAAATCATATCTAACATTTTATTTATTACTAAAAGATTTTATTTGTTGTAAAACAATTTATTTGTTACTAATAGTTTCTTTTTTTTCTCTAACTTCTTCATTGATTAAATGACACAATGAAAGAGTTGATAGAAGATGGGAATCGGTATAAGAATTTACCATGCCTTTAGGCAAACTGAACACAACTGTTTCCTTCTAGTGATAGCTGTTACACCATGGCTATATTCCTGCAATTTGTGACAATAAATGCTTTGATCATACTGTGAGGCAAAACTTTACTCCAAAATTAAAAATTTTTTTCTAGAAAAGCGCATGTCATGGATTGAATCAAGTACTGGAGCATTAGTATATTTCCCAAAAATTTCATATGTCTACATCTGTATCTATCCTCCATTATTCCTCCCTTTAGTTGTGAGAGCCATGAAGAACTGGCTAAGCCTGAGATCATCCTGCAAAGGACATACAGAGTGAAGATAGCCAGATTTTAAGATCACTGTCATAGAAAAAAGCAAAACCCTGTTAGATATAGACTGTCTGCTTAGAATATCATATAGCTCTACAAATTGGACACCAAGCTCATCCCTAACTCTTTGTCTTAGTGTCACACAGCATCAGCTGTTTGCAGGAATGACAAATTTTTGATGAAAGAATCATGAATCCCATTTGTCCACATTACAAAAGAAAAATTTGATTCTATTTTGTCTCACAGTGGACTTTATTTAAAATAAGTTTTACAGCAAATTAAAAAAAACTCCATTTGATTAATATTTGTTTAACTGGCTTCTATTATGGGAAAAGTATTATACTACATACTTGAAAGTTAATCATAACTACTAAATTATACAGTTATTTTATTACATATATATGTTACATTGATTTGAAATATGAAGAATAATTAAGCATTGTTAACCACAGGTAAAGGATGTGGTGGAGACATACGCAGAGAAATTTATAAGCAGGGCCCAAGTTACAAAGAATTATAGTCCTCTCAAGAATTTGATTGTCGCGGTGGCTTAACGCCTGTAATCCCAGCACTTTGGGAGGCCGAGCGGCAGGCGGATCACAAGGTCAGGAGATCGAGACCATCCTGGCTAACACGGTGAAACTCTGTCTCTACGAAAAATACAAAAAAATTAGCCGAGCGTAGTGGCAGGCGCCTGTAGTCCCAGCTACTCTGGAGGCTGAGGCAGGAGAATGGCGTGAACCCGGGAGGCGGAGCTTGCAGTGAGCCGAGGTCGCGCCACTGCGCTCCAGCCTGGGCGACAGAGCGAGACTCTGTCTCAAAAAAAAAAAAAAAAAAAAAAAAAAAGAATTTGATTGTCAAGCCATGTTTGGCTGGGTCACACTGAAAAACTAAAGAAAGTAACGTAGAATGATTCTGGTGAGATGAATTAATCAGGTACTTTGGGCTTAGTAACTTAGGTTAAAAATTTTGTATTTTCAAAAATCAACTTCAAATCAAATCCAAAAAAGGATAAAAGACTTAAACATAAGACCTGAAACTGTAAAACTACAGGAAGAAAACGTAAAGAAAAACCTATACGACTTTGGTTTGGCCAATTATTTTTTTACATTTGACCCCAAATACACAGGCAACAAAAGCAAAAATGTACAAGTGGGATTATATTAAAATAAAAGCTTCTACACAACAAAGAAAACAATTAATGAAGAGGCAACCCCCTATGGATTTGGAAAATATATTTGCAAGCCATACATCTGATAAGAAATTAATATTCAAAATATATAAGGAAATTAAATAACTATAGAAAGTAAAAAATTCAATTAAGAAATGGGCAAGGGGCTTAAATAGACATTTTTCAAAAGACATACAAATGGCAACAGAAACATGAAAAAATGTTCAACATCACAAATCGCGAGGGAGATACAAGTTAAAACCACAATGACATATTACCTCACAACTGTTAGAACGGCTTTTATCAAAAAGATAAAAGATAATAAGTGTTGGAAATGGTGTGAAGAAAATGGAACTTTTGTATGTGATTGGTGGGAATGCAAATTATTACAACCATTATAGAAAAGAGTATGAATGCTCCTCAGAAAACAAACAAAATAGAAGTGCCATGTGATCCAGTAATTCCACTTTCTGGTATTTACCTGAAAGATTTGAAATCAGTAGGTTGACGAGATATCTGCAATCTCATGTTCATTTCAGCACTATTTACAATAGCAAAGACACAGAATCAACGTAAGTGGCCATCAAGGAATGAACAAAGAAAAAAAATGTGTCATATATCCACAATAGTATACTATTCAGTCTTAAGTTACTTGCAATAACGTGGATGGAACTGTAGAATATTATACAAAGTGAAAAAGCCCAACACAGAAACACTAAGATCCCGTGTTCTCACTTATACAGGAAATATAAAACAATTGAACTCATAGAACCAGAGAGTAGAATGGTAGCTACCAGAGGCTGAGTATTGGGGAATGAAGAGAAGATGGTCCCACAGTTCAGAGCTTCAGTTAGATGGAGGAATGTTTGATATTTTTTAGATATATTGCATAGTGTGGTAGATATTGCTAATCATTGAGTACTGTACATTTTGATGCAAAGAGGGTAGTTTCAAATGTTCTCCTCACAGAAAAGTTAAATATTCAAGGCAATGGATATGGTCATTAGTTTGACTTAATCATTCCACATAGTATCTAAAAATCATGACATCACTCTGTACCATGAAAATATCTCTAACTATTATTTGTCAATATATAATAAAATAAAGAGTGACTAAAATAGGAATTTTGTATTTTATTCTGTGGTACAAGAAAGACATTGAAAGGCCTTAAACATGACAGTGATCTGTGCAGTAAAACTGTACTGTCCTGTCTCAGATTTAGAGAGTGGAGTAGAGGTGCAAGATCAGACAGCAGTACTATAGTAAGGAGACTGATGCAGGGTGAAAGATAATGGTACCTTGAAGTTAGTTGGTAAAAGGTGATTTGAGCAGCAGAATGATTTTTGAGATATTCAAAGTATAAAAATCAAAAGGATTTGGGGACTGATCTATGTGGGGATTAGATTTTAAGAATGACAAGTTTCTTGTTTGAACAAATAGGTAAACTAGATGAACAATTAAGTAGATAATTCATTGAGAATAGAAACTCAGAAGAAGTAAAATTAACACCAGGGAGAAGATCATCTGTCTGGTTTTGGATCCTCATGCTAGTTAACCTTGGATTAATGTTGATATTGTTATTTAAATTCCCTACTCATCTCATCCAGTATGCCCTTGGGATTATTGACCATCATCTATATCTGCTCAGTTGACATCTTCCTTAATTTGCTTCTTTTCATATTCCAGGGGGTATGCTGGATATAATTAAAACTAAAAATGGAAGTAGATTCAGAGATAATATGGCTTAAAGATTCTTAGTACCTGATAGGTATATTTTCCCCAGAGTTATAGTCCCAGAACAAATTGGACCTTCAGCTTATAAATCCAGAACCTCTTAAATCAGAAATTAGCAAACACTTTAATTAAATTAAATCTTTGGATTATATTCTTCCTCCACTACTGTATTAAAGCTTTTCATATCTAAATTACCAAAGGATTTAAATTTACTTATTTTTTCTATACGCTAAGTTCTAAAAAAATTCAACATGATATATTTTTCCAAAGAAATGCTTCTGCTTTCTCAGACCATGTTTTTCAGGTAGTAGTGTATGCTTTCAGAACCTGATTTCAATTATTTTTTTTTTTCAGGAATTGAGGTGTCTCCATCCAATATCTCTATCCAATGGGAATCTGCCAGGTATAAACCAAAACTACTTTACTATTGCTTACTCTTAATAATGATATATTTCCCATTTATCAATTACCTAAAATTGGTATACAGTATATAAGACTGAACTTTTTATTGACCTATCAGTGATTATTCACGAAAAGGGACTAGTTAGGAACAAAATGTCATAAGTTCAAGACACCTGAGTTGTTGTCAGATCAATAAAGGATGAATAAAAGTTAGCCAGGACTACTGTAGGGTTAAAGGGAGGGTGTTGCTTTAAGAGGGCCAATTTACAACAGGATTTTGGAATTGCAATTGCTCACATACTCAAAATCTAGGTATGAGCTTGTTTCTTAAGAAGGTGCATGTGTTTCTTCAGATAAGGTGTATTCATCAGTTCTGGTTGCCATATCAAAATATTATAACTTCTACAGAAATTTATTTTCTCACAATTCTAGAAGCTAGAAATCTGAGATCAGGGTGACAGCATGGTTGAGTATTGCTGAGAGCCCTCTTCCTGGACTGCAGATGGTCACTTTCTTGTAGCTTTTCTTCAGTGTATGCAAGGGGAGAGATGAACTACTTCTTCTTTTTTCTTTTGGTTCTTTTTGTTAAAACTTTTATTTTAAGTTCAGAGGTACAAGTGCAGGTTTGTTACATAGGTAAACTTGAATCATGGGTATACAGATTATTTAATCACAGAGGTATTAAGCCCAGTACCTATTAGTGGTTTTTCCTGATCCTCTCCCTTCTCCCAACCACCATCCTCTGAAAGGCCCAATTATGTGTTGTTCCCCTCTATATGTCCATGTGTTCTCATCATTTGGAGTGACCTCTTCTTAAGGGCCACTGACCCTATCAGATTAGACCCCACCCTCATGACCTTATTTAATATAAGTAAATGCATTTTTTCTGGATTCTTGCTAAATCTGAAATTCTTTCTTAAAGATAGTAAAAATACAAATGCAATATTCAGATATTCAGAGAATTGTCAGCTTCTTGGCTATCTTACCTGTTTCTAACTGTACAGTGCTTAATGTTGAAGTTGACATAAGAAAAGAGTGAGTTTCTATCCGCATTTTAAAGCTAGTTTTCCCTCCTGGTTTATTTTCAAAAACAAGATAAAGTGTTGGAATTTTTTCGAACATTTTGGTTAAGAAATTCCATATAATTTCATCATTGTGATTTACTCATCTGTCCTAAAGCATAAGTCCTAGGATGACTAGAGCTCCTCAAAAATAGTATGATAGCTGTACATTTATATAGTAGAAATCATTATATTTTCTTATAGCCTACATTGTATTCAATAAAATTTATAAATTGTAGGAATGAATTAAGTACTTGAAAATTCTTTTTTTTTTTTTTGTTCTTGAAACAGTCTGGCTCTGTCACCCAGGCTACAGTGCAGTGGTGTGATCTTGGCTCACTGCAACTTCCCTCTCCCAGGATCAAGTGATTCTCCTGTGTCAGCCTCCTAAGTAGCTGGGACTACAGGCGTGTGCCACCATGCCCGGCTAATTTTTATATTTTTATTTTTATTTTTATTTTTTTTAGTAGAGACAGGGTTTCACCGTGTTAGCCAGGATGGTCTCTGTCTCCTGACCTCGTGATCCATCTGCCGTGGCCTCCCAAAGTGCTGGGATTACAGGTGTGAGCCACCGCGCCCCACCAGTCCTGAAAAATTCTAGCATAGAGTTCAAAATGGGCAACTACCCTTGATTTTTGAAGTGGGTTATTTTAGGCAGAAATAAGAGAAAACAACTACTATAATTGAAGAAATTCATTTATCATAATCTAAATAAATATGGGATTGGAGTGTTATAAAAGCACATGTTTGGGCCTCTCCCAAGAAAAACATACTACATTGTTGCTGAGCAACCCACTCTCAGAGAGTTAGAGATAGAATTCATGTCAAAAGTCGATATCCCCATGAAAACATTTTTTTCATGTGGGAAAGTTAATACCTTGACAGGGAGAAATTCATCCATGTCCTAATTCAAATTCAAGTCTAACTCAGAAGTGATGTAAACCCTATATTTGTAGAGAATGTTTAAGGCTACATTTCATTGTTTCTATACCTTAGCAGAAAAATATTTCCTCTGAGGTCGAAAAAATTTTATGCATGCCCCTACCAAAGTGATTATATTTATTTGTTTAACTATCTGATGCCTTATGTCAGATAATAATACCACTGATGACAAGGATTACATCTCATTGCTCTTTGATATGGTGATAGGAATAAGGATACAAAAATAGTTCCTGGATTACTTCCAACATTTGTAATTTTCTGAAGTTACGTAGTGGAGTCCAAAATTGGTATGCATTTGCTGCCAGGAGCACAAGGTCAAAAGAAATACGGAAAGGTAGAAATTCAGGCCCTGAGTTAAGGTACCCTGACTTCTCAATTAAGACATGTCTTCAACATTAGCTAAATCAGCATCCCAGATAGCACTATGGGAGGCTGTGGGAGAAATGGTTGTAATGATATTTGAGATGGACTTTACTGTGTAAAAAGCTCAGAATGGGCTGGGTGCAGTGGCTCACACTTGTAATACCAGCACTTTGGGAGGCCGAGGCAGGCGGATCAGGAGGTGAGGAGCTCAAGACCACCTTGGCCAACATGGTGAAACCCCGTCTCTACTAAAAAAAAAAAAAAATACAAAACTTATCTGGGCGTGGTGGCACGTGCCTGTAATCCCAGTTATTTGGGAGGCTGAGGCAGGAGAATCACTTGAACCAGGGAGTTGGAGGTTGCAGTGAGCCGAGATCGCACCACAGCACTCCAGCCTGGCAACAGAGCAAGACCCCGTCTCGGAAAAAAAAAAAAAAAAAAAGAAAAAAGGGCTCAGAATGATCTGAAGGTCCATGGTTGGTAAACAAAATAATAATAATAATAACAAAATAATAATAATAAAAACACTTCATATTATAATGAGCTTTGTCTGGTGGCTCTTTGGTGATCTATCCCCTATGGGAACCCCGTAATACCAACTTTTAGTAACATCATCAGAAGCAAAGGCCAGATCTTATTGGCCACCCCATTAAGATACCTACACTCTGGAGTGGACATAACTAATTCACAGGATGGTTTTTTATCTGTCAGTCATGGATTATTTTTCTTTATGTGCTTTATATCTTGCTAAGTTAGGAATAGGAATCCCGGTCCCTAACAGATTAAAATTGATTCTTTTAAAAGACTATTTAAACTGTATCTCCATAATTCAGCTGATCCATACATGATTCCTTCTATATCTTTCATGGCCAAAGATATCCTTTTCATGGCACATCAAAGGATGTGCTGTCACATCCTTTGAGGTTTCTGAGTTTATTAAAATAATTAAAAACAGCATGTTTTTGTTGCTTTAAAAGTTCTACTGTCTTTGTTGGTGCTCCTCCCAGTTCCTTTCTGCTTAGTAATACGGCTTTATCTCTGGTAAATCATGACTGAGACATGGTAAATACATCATTAGGTAAGCAACCTGAGCTGAAAATTGGCTATATTTTTTAAATGCTGACATATGGGATTTGGAGGTCTTACCTTACCTGACAGATGGTGAAAGAAAATTACAGAAAATGGTCACAGCGGATCCCTTCCTCCACACTTCAGTGCTTTGTTAAATAAGAATAAGCCTATTTAATTAATATTGATTTAACACTGACTGTCCTTGAGACATATTACCCTTTGACATATTTTTACCTTCAAAACTGCCAAAATTGCAAAATGTATAATAACAAAATGTAAATCCATTCCTAAGCTCAGGGTTATTGTGGGTTGTTATCACCAATTCCCAGCCACTCCAGGAAGAAGCTACATGTTTTTGCAGGTGGCAATGTCTTTATTTATGACCTCCAGCGATTAGCTAGCTTTGCCAGAGATTTCTGAGAATGGCCCAGGTCACCCAAGTGTGGGACTTCAGGGAAGAATAAAAGATTCTGACTATTTTCCTTATGATTCTGGCACTTGTGAGAGCATTAAAGCCTTACTTTGATAGAAATATTAGCTGGTTATTTCTTTCTAAGTCTAATAATAACCCAAAGGAGGCATCTGTTTATCAGCTGAAGAAAGATTACAAGTTTGTTATTCTTGACACTTTTTATCTGGTAATTTGAATCATACATAACCAGAAAACCTTTGTTTTCTTCTGTGTTTCAGAGGAGGCCTTGGGTCATAGCCTTTTGTAAGAAAACTTCATCTCTCTTTGTGGGATGATGTACACATTATTAGATTCAGTAAGCACATCTGAAATTCATACTACATTTTCAGTCTCAGAATAGTAGACTATTAGATGATAGCAGACTATAAGCAGAGTGACTTTATGTAGAATGAGAGTCACTCTACCTATAACTTATTAGTACATAATTTCCACACATAATTTATATATATATAAGACTGATATAGTTGTAATATCATAAAACATATAAATTATACCCAAGCACCTAAAATAACCAGTACCCTCTTCTGTGCCCTGGTGCAGATCATAGCATGTTTCCTAGCTCTGACCCACATTTGAGTGAAAGACAAACAAGGAGGCCAAATATCTATTGAACTTTCCAAGTGGAAACTTACTGAAGAAGTAGTCATATAGCACTTACTTCAGCTCTCACCACCCTAGAAGTCATTTGCCCCTGGAAGTCCTTTGCCAAGATCTGGGTATAGCACTTGCAGTATGTTTCTGGGATAGCATGATCAGAGGTAAAAGCTGTCACATTATGGGGCAATATAGAACTAAAAGTTAGAGACCTAGAAGTAAAAAATCTCACTTACACTGCCTTTGAATTTTCTCCCAGTTTTATCTCTCATAATAATTAGCTAGATTTGTAGGCAATAAGAGAGAAAACAGAGAAAATCCTGGGGCCAGAGCTAGCCATGTGTTTGTCTAGTTTAAAGGAAGACATGTGGTCATTCCAACCTGGTATGATATCCTTGGCAGAGCCTAGGCTAAACAGTTGAGCATGAAAAGGGTTAAGACAGTCAGTTGACAGACAGAATGATTCTGAGTCAATGTGCAGAAAGTCAGGGCTGGTAAAAATGAAAAGGTCATCTCTGGGACAAACTTTGTCAGCAGCATGAGGGACAGTCCCCCTAATTATTATGGCTGTGAGAAAGAGATTTTGAAGAAATTGCTGGTTATTTTTTCTAATGGCATAGTTTCGCCCTCCTTCTCTGCTTTGTTTCTAGGGTAAGCTATGGCCCTTTTCTCTGGATCATGACCCTCTTCTCCCTCTAGTCTTAACATCCATCTATGCAACTCATTTTTACTCCCTTTGAAGTAAATTGTAACAAAGAGTGGGTGTTGTCCTGTGTTGAGGACAGAGAAATAGTGTTAAATGTGCCTCTGAAAACCAGTAGATTAGCAGTTGGAAGAGTAACACTATAGTCCCCGGCAATTCCCACTTTCCATTCCAATCTCTGTGACAAACTGTTTAGTTGGCACCATACTCTAGAAACACTCAGGTAGTCACACTTCAGAAGATACTTCTACCAACTCAAAAAATCACAAGAAAGGTTTTAATGGAGTCTCTCATGCAGATCTCAATATCACTTTCAATTGTAAATGAGTGGTTGTGATAATTTTCTATATAGGCACCTTCCAGGATTCCCTTGGGCAAATGACCCATTACAGGTCTAAAGCTTTCTAACTCTCATCATATATTTTTTCAAAAGAAGAAAAAATTAATAGAAACCAATAATTTCTAAATAATAATTTCTAGAATTAGAAAAAATTAAAAAATATTAAGATAAAAATAGTAAGCTGTGACTGTTAATTATTATCCTCAAGTAAATCCCATCAAGATATATGTGCTTCTCTTTCCCCAAAGAGAAAATTATACCATTTCAACAATATTTCTGGAAATATAAAATGTAATACTTGCAAAATTCATGTAAGACATGTTTATTTACAAGCTGTGCCAACTCCTTGTTTAACAGTTCTATGAATGAACAGAAAGAAGGTGCTGCACCTTGAACCTGCCTTAAATGAGTCCTGGAGTTTTGATCCCACATCACTGTTGCTAAGCATTTTAGCTCCAGAGGAAACCATTTAGAGAACTGGGAAACATCCCACCTTTGTAGAAAATTTATAGTTAGCGTCAAACTTTTTATGTTGATTCTTCCTAAAAGGTAAATATTTGAAACAAAAGAATCTATAAACAGAGGAGAACAGACTCCAAGGTTGTGATATCAGAACTGTTCGTAATATTGGTTGGACTGGAGAACACAGAGGCAATTGTGTTAGACTTAACTAGACATTAGTCTCTTTTTATCTTAAGACTTCTACCTCATTATACATTGTAGAAAAATAAAAATTAGACCAAGGCTAAAAACTAGAGCCATCCAGCCCGGCGCAGTGGCTCACGCCTGTAATCCCAGCACTTTGGGAGGCCGAGGCGGGCAGATCATGAGGTCAGGAGTTTGAGACCAGCCTGGCCAATATGGTGAAAACCTGTCTGTACTAAAGATACAAAAATTAGGCAGCTGTGGTGGCATGCGCCTATAGTCCCAGCTACTCAGAAGGCTGAGGCAGAAGAATCACTTGAACCTGAGAGGAAGAGGTTGCAGTGAGCTGAGATCGTGCCACTGCACTCCAGCCTGGGAAACAGAGCAAGACTCCATTTCAAAAAGAAAAAAAAGAAAAAAAAAAAAACAAAAAAACAAAAGACACTAGAGCCATCCATAATTTGGCAAATATGTAAGATAAACCAGACCATGAAACAATCACGAGCTTGGAGCTCTGGAAACTAAAAGTGGACCTCATATTTCCTCACCTGTGTGCCTACCTACCTACAAATGTCTTAGCCTTTTGAGACTTTCTATATAAAAATGCTTATAATTTTCCCTTATGTAGCAAAAAATAAGCGTCCATTAATAGACACACACCCATGAACAATGCTCAGAAGAGTGCAAGCAAGTACTGAGCATTTCATTAAGCCATCCCCCTGTTCAGATTGATTTATGGGCCTCCAGTCCATCCTCAACATTAGCTGTCATTAGACCATTATAACTCCCTGCAGTCCCTCAGCTTCCTGCTTCCAGGAGGGAGACACAATTGCGCCCAGCTGTGCTGAACTAGCTATCACCACCACTAATTTTCTGCTAGAACCTACGAGTAATGTCACATTTCATGCTGTTCCAATAAAAACATTTGCTCCTTGGCAGGGCTAGTAAAGAGCTTGATGAAGAAACTATAGAAAGTCCATGGGCGGGCAAAAGGTGACAGAGCAACCTCGTCAGGAAAAAAATTGAGTACCTGTTAGGCTGACACAGCAGATCAGAACAAGGAAGAGAGAATGAGGTAATCAGGTCAGAATGCAAAGACTTCTTGACATTTACTTATTTACTCAACAATATTTTTGAGCACCTACAAAGTGCCAGACACTGCGCAAATAGAATTGTCATGACTGTTGGATACAATCCCTTGGAGCCAGAAGGCTTGGGATCTGCTCCATGTTTCCACTTAACTGAGCTGTGAAACCCAATAAAAACTGCTTAACTCTGTGAGGATCCCAGCTTCTGATCTATATAATGGCAGCTATTATATAATAGATCTATATTATAATAATCTATATAATAGATATCTGTGTAATGTACTCTAGATAATAATCATCCATGTCTCAACTTATTGATAGAAAATTATGGAGCCTGTTGTTGTAATAGGAAGCATTTAGAAAAACCTGAAACTGCATATATACATATATATGAGATTATATATGGCATATATATGTTTTTATATTACATTTATATGACACACATACATATGTGTGTGTATGTATATATATTAGAAGCATTTAGAAAAAGAGAAAAACCTATATATGATTATATATGTGGCTTATACATATGTTTTTATATTATATTCATATAGTACACATAGATGTGTTAAATGTGTGTGTGTGTGTGTGTCTGTGTGTGAGTATTTAGAGAAACTGTGTGTATTAAGGGGCTCTTGGGTAGAACATTCTCCTACATAATTTATCCACTGTAGCGAACAGGCAGAAAGGTAGATTCTCATAGCATCCAGCTAACAGGTGTAATCTCCACATTGCCACCTACCTGTGAATCAAACACAAAGCTTGACTGGACACTAGGAGTACCCAGTTCTGAAGAGCATTAAGTTCTGCATCATGTTCAGTAGATACTGAAACATCAAGAAAATGCCTGAAGCATAGACTCCAGGAGAAGTCACTGCCAATCAACAGAAGTTTCTGGGATCATTCCATTTGTTTCTCTTTATTTATAGTATCTGTGAAAATTTGGACACATTAACAGGGACACAAGTTCTCTAATGCTAGTGCTGTTGCTGAAGTGACATTCCCCTATCTGCATTGGCTTCCAATCTATTATCACAGCTGCTTTGAGGTGTCTAACTCAGTTTACATGAAAACTACAGGAACCAACTCAGAAACATTAGTTAAAATAAACATAGGATTTATTTAGCATACTCCATACATGTTTCTCAACACCTCTTTCCAGACTCCATTAGTTGTGTCATGAAGTGGAAATGGGATACTTAGAACCCTAATCCCACATAACTCAGATGAACACTGATATGGTTTGGCTGTGTCCTCACCCAAATCGCATCTTGAATTGTAACTTCCACAACTCCCACATGTCATGGAAGTAACCCAGTGGGAGGTGATTGAATTATGGGGTTGGGTCTTTCCTGCCCTGTTTTCATGATAGTGAATGAGTCTCATGAGATCTGACAGTTTTAAAAAGGGGAATTTCCCTACACAAGTTCTTTCTCTCTTGGCCTGCTGCCACCCACGTAAGATGTGACTTGCTCTCCTCCCTGCCTTCCACCATGATTGTGAGGCCTCCCCAGTCATGTAGAACTGTAAGTCCAATAAACGTCTTTCTTTTATAAATTACCAAATCTCAGGTATGTCTTTATCAGCAACATGAAAATAACTAATACAAACACCATGCTAGATTCATACAGTAATCTACCCTTTCCACCTAGAATGTATACTGAACAATGCCCTCTAGCCATTGGCCAGGGCTCTGGTTCCAAGTGCATGTCTGTTTTCCCACCATGATTCTAGGACTCCATAGCCTTCCTGGCCCTTTTATTTCATTACATGACCAAGAAGCTGTCTAAGCAGCTTGCCCAATGCTCCCTTCCCCTGAACCCTACCTTGATAGCTTCTTGACATTAAGTTGTGGGTTTACGTTGAGAAAGAGGCATCCAGAGGTTCATGATTTAGGGCAACAAAAGCTAATAAAAAGTAAATACAGAAACATTTGCTGAATGAGTAGATCCAAATATTAAGAGAGGAGTATTAAGGTCTCCCCTGCTATACCCCAGCCACCATTCTGCCAAAGCCCTTCTGTCTGTGGGCTCAGGAACTTTATTCTGCTTCTAAGACATGTCAGAACATTTTCTCTTAAGAATGAAGGATGGAAGAGGTGGAATTCTGAGCTTCCCATCAGAATTTGCTACTAATATTGCCTATGCACCTCTACCTCATCTCACTGAAAGACATCTGGTTTGTTTCCAGTCTTTTGGCTATTACAAATAAAGGTACTATAAACCCATGTATAAGTTTTTATATAAACAGATGATTTCATTTCTCTGGAAAAAATATCTACAAATGTGAATTTGAGTCATATGGGGATTGCTCGCTTAGTTTAGATTTTTACAAAACTTTTGCATTTTATCCTAGCATGCCTGCATTACACTCTTGCAAGCAATGTTTAAATGACATAGTTTCTCTCTATCTCCACCAGAATTTGATGTTGTAACTACTTTTCTTATTTTACCTATTCTGATAGTTACATAGTAATATGTACCCATTAAAACAACTCATTATGGTTTTAATGTTCATTTTTCAGTGACTAATAAAGTTGAACATGTTTTCCTGTGCTTATTTGCTATCTGTGTCTCCTCTTCAACAAAATGTCTGTTCATGCCTTTTGTCCATCTCCTAATTGGGTTTTATTTACTGTTGACATTTGATTCTTCTTTATGTATTCTAGACACTAGTCTTTTCAGAGATATGTGGTTTCCAAATAATTTCTCCCAGAGTTTAGCTTGTCTTTTCATCCTCCTCACAGGGTCTTTTGCAGAACAAAGATCAGTAATTTTAACAAATCCAACTTATTTTTCTTATTTTATTGATTATACTTTTGCTGTCAATACTAAGACTTCTTTGCTTAGCCCTAGAATCTAAAGACAATCTCTGTTCATTTGTTTAAATTTTATAGTTCTACATTTTATATTTAAATACATAATGAGATTTATATTGAGTTTCTCTTTTTTGTCCTATGGTATCCAATTACTCCAACATAATTTTGTTGAAAAGACTCTTCTAATCTATTGAATTGCTTTTGCAGTTTTGTCAAAATTTAATTGGGCCTATTTATATGGGTCTATTTTTTGTTTATCTGTGCCCTTCCATTGTCTGTCTCTCTACTAAAACTGCAGGTGGTAAATGGTATTGATTTTATTAATTTCAATGTCATGTATTCATTACTAGTTTACAAAAATATAGTTATTTTTATAAGTTTACCTTGCATTCTGTGACCTTACTGAACTATTAGTTCTAGCAATTGTTTTGTAGATTCTTTGGTATTTCTTATGTAAACAATTATGTTATCTTTAAATAGAAAACATTTTATTTCTTCGTGTTCTATCTATACGACTTTGATTTACTTTTCTTTTCTTATTTCACAATCTTGAACTTCCAGCACTCTGATGAATAAGAATGGTGATGACAGTATCTTCATCTTATTCTCAATATTAGGGTGAAAGCATTCAGTATACGATTTGCTGGAGGGTTTTTTTGTAGGTGTTTGTTAATTTCACCCTATTCTTTACTTGATGATATTTTATTATAAATACATGTTGAACTTTAACAAATTTTGTTTTGTGCATCAATTGATGGTATCATATGGCTTTTTATATTTAGTTTGTTGATATGTTGAATTATATTGTTTGTTTCTTTAATGTTGATCCAGCCTTGCACTCCCAAATAAACCTCATTTAGTTATAACAAACAATTTTCATATATATTACTAAATTCTATTTCTAACATGTTCTCAAGGATGTTTGCATCTATATTCATGAGAGATCTTAGTCTTTAGTTTTCTTCATTTGTACTGTCTTTACCTGGTTTTTGTATCAGAGTAATAATAGCTTCATTAAAGCGAGAACTGTTCCCTCTTCCTGGAAAACATTTGCATCTCAATTCAATGTACTTTTTACTTTTACTGAGACTTTCTCTTTGCCTCATTGATTATTTAGAAGTGTGTTATTTAGTTTCCAAGTATTTAAATATATTCTTGTTGACTTTCTGTTATTGATTTCTAGTTTGATTTTGTTGTGCTTAAAGAACATACTCTGTATGATTTCAACTTTTTCTAATTTGTTGAAATTTATTTTATTGCCTATCTTATGATCTACCTTGGTATGTGCTCTGTGGACACTTAAAAATGTACATTCTGTTGTTGGGTGGAATATTCTATGAACACTCCTATTTCTAATGGTGTTTTTGAGTTCTATGATGTTCTTGATTTTCTATCTAGTTATACTAATTGTTGAGAGACAACTACTAAAATCCCAGCTCCCTATTTTGTCGTCTGTAACGGTGTTGTGGTGCTTCACTATCATGAGAGTGAAAGTCTAGACTTCCCACTTGGCTTTGCTGGTGTATTTGAGGGTGGGTTTGGTTGGAATATAGTGATTACTGTCTAAACATGTTCTGTCTTGCTAGACTATGCCTTTGTTGGTCCTTTGACTAGAGAGAGCAAGCTTTGTCTGCTCTCATTGGCACTTCTGAGTTGGTAACTTCTTCAGCTGAGAGTCTGGAGTACACAAAGTGAAAAGAAAATCAGGAAACTCACCACTGTCTCATCTCCTGGGTCCCAAAGTCTTTAGCCAACTTGCCTTCTTTGTCAGCCTTTCAGTCTTATGTTTGTTTTACACATAATGTCCAAATTTTTCAGTTGCACTTTGTGGTAGAAATAGAGAAAAGAAAGTCTACTCCATATTTCAAAATCAAAAGTTTAAAAAGATCCCTTTAAATAAAATATAAACAACTTTACTATTTATTGAGGTGTTTGTTCTAGTTTTGCTTAGGTTGGAGAAGTTGCATATGCTGTAGCCACAGATAAACCTCATAGTAAGTCCTCAGTATGCAGCCTGTCAGGGTAACTTGCCTTGAAGAGACTGTTCATCCTACTGAAAATGTTGGGTGGGTCCATTTCATCTTTTTTAAAAAGAGGTAAAGTTGATTGTTTTTTAATTTAAATTACAAAGTTTTGAACCCTGGTTGTATCCATCCAATCTCTTCACAAGTACTTCTGGGTTGACTTCTGTTGTGTTGGTGCAGTAGATCTTGTCCCTGGAGTTGATACCTAGGGTGTGATCATCTTCCCCCCTCAACCCATTCCCTTATACACACCTTCAATTGACTCTTCCTCAGCTTGTGTTGCACCCATTTCCCCCCTCTGTGTTTCAATTATTTAAAAGAACAAGGTGAAGCATTTTTATCTTAGTTCCTTTGTGAACCTGCTTCCATGAATCCTGACATTTTCACTGGAAACTTGTCTCAATCTCCAGTGAAATGAAAGTATCCTTGTTTTAAAGTTGTATTAACGTTGATGTCTCCTTATCAGTCCCCTCACTTCTTTGGTTCTGCATTTGCCTCTGATTTATCTGACTTCAAAGAACTACAAGTAAGCCACAGTTACATACATATTAACTTGGGTAACCCTGGAGCAGAAATAGCACCAAAATGAGTGACTAATTCTAGTGAGTCAATAAATAGAAAAGACAGGTAGGAAGTAGAGTGGGTGAATGTGAAAGCAGGTGGTTTAAAGAGAAAAAAAGAGGTTGCAGGTGACACTTAGAGAATTCTAGAAAGGTGACTCAATGAACAGAGGCATTGCTTCAATGCATATCAGAGGCCATTTCATTTTTAAACCAATACATTTTCACAATTTGACTTCTTATCTTGACTTCAGTACAGACAATATTTGGAAAGGCAAATTTCAGGGGAATGTGATTTAATTGTTTATCAGATTAGACCAGTCTTCCAAATGTCATTTGATGCTCTATCCTGCCAACTGGACCTAGCTGCATACTCTGAGGACTTTAATATCAGGACCCAGGAAGATTGGCACCTCCCAAGATCTGAAGTGGCTCAAAGTGGGTATTCTCCTTGACACTTGAACTTCATCAGTTAACCTCTCTCTGTAGTTCTCAAATACAAGCATCACATAGGGTATTTGCTTTTCTGCTTCTTGTAGCCTCCGTCTCAGGGAAAAATCAAACAAATAAACAAATAAAGGTTTGAGCTGAATTTTAACAGCATTTCCAGAGAAGTCTTTCAAAGTTTATTTGATATTGGCTGTGCTTATAATATAGCCTGCTTTTTTCTTTCTCCTGCTTAGTTTCCAGGTAATCTTAGATTTAAATATCAGGCTAGGGACCTAACACCCATCCCTGCTCTTCATGTAAAAATCACAGCCACAAAATCCCTCATCCTCTGTTCCTCCTGCCTTATAACAAGCTAAGAATGGGAAGTACATGTAATCTTTAGACCCTTTCATGCTGTGACACATCAGCTGAAAATGCCATCCAGAAAAAGGTTGTGTTCTGTTCATCATAAACGTGTTACAGAAGGAAGATGAAGCTAGTCTCATGTATTATCTGTGAGGTGTACTACATGTTTTTTCTCTATAATCATTAGCCTTAATTTTAGTGTTTCTTTTTCATGAGCTTTCCTGAGCAAAGGGAGCTGGAACATTTAAAGCCAAGTTAATTCAAAATGTTGCTAGGAGCCAGTGTCTTGGAGATATTGATCAAGTCGTCACCACCAAGCATTCTCCAGGCACCGATGCAGCAGATTTTGACCTTAGATATCTGCAAAAAAAAAATCAGATGTGGCCCTTTTCATGGGATACCTTCGAGTCCAAGAGTTACAGTACTAGCATTATAATACAGTAAAATTCAAGCACCTTGTAGATAAATAAAAGAGGGTTTACTTAACATAAGTACAATACATTCAAGCAGCAAACATATTTTCAGTAGACTCAATAAAATCTTACAGAGCGTGCAAAACAAGAGGCCATAATGACACAAAAGTAGAGGGGGATTGAGCTAAATTCTCAGGTACAAGAACTGGGTAAAGTTTTCATGCCTACCTTGACCAGTTTAGGAAAAATTCGTGGAAGAGTAATTATTTCTGGATTTGCTTTTAAGCTTTGCAATAACATGAAAGCTATGTTTAGAATAAGTTGCCAACTTAGGGGAGCATTAAGTAAATTCACTTATAAGCTGTCAAAGAGCTGGGCTAGATTATGTTTTCAGGGACTTGGGGGAGTCAGTGAAGATCTGACTATGGATTGTAAATGTGTAGAACTCAGTAGAAATCTAGGAAATATAACTAAAATATTAGCGGGAAAAATCCAGGTTACTTTATCTCACAGAATTTTTTGAAAGGGCTCACCCAACCCATGCCATTCACAATCTCCAAGTTTGGCTCTTTCCAGAACCTATTATTCATGGAATAAAAGCACAAGAAGCTGCAACTCTGGTTTATTGAGTTATTCCTGATTTAACAAGTCTAGCTGGAGTTGTTTAGAAGACCAAGATCAGGGTCTAGAACTACCCAAATCCAGAGAGTAAGTGTTTGGATGTGATTCACACTACTCCTAATTGGTAGAGCATCCTCTGGCAACACCATGACAAAGACAGAAGATTTGAAGTGTGGGGACTAGATTCTAACTTCAGGTCTGTTAATTACTGGCTATGTGCCCTTAGGCAGATCATTCTACATCCATGAGTCTCAGTATCTTAATCTGGAAAATGTAAGAATTGTTCTACATTGGCATTTTCTGAACTGTGTTTCAAAAACTGCTCAGCAGTTAGTGGTAGATTATATTCCAAGATGGCCACAACAATTCCTTCCTGCATCCCAAGGGCCTCTTTGCAGTGTGACTTTACCTGTCCTCCCTTCCACAGAGAGACATCAACTTATATACACTTTGAATCTAGCCTAGCCTTATGACTGCTTTGTTTAATATTACATGACAGGGTAATGTTCGACTTTTGCGGCTAAGCGTTTAGTAGCTTAATGGTGCTTGTTGTTTGCCCTATTGAGTACTACACTGTGTTGAGCTCACCTTTTAAGAAAAGCTTTTGGTGGATGAGAAACCATGTAGAAGAGGAGTGAGGCTTCCCAGACAACATCAACTGCCAGACAGTCCTCCACCTTCCAGCACAGGATAGCCACAGTATTATAAAAATCATCCATCATTGTTGTTTAAAGCCACTAAATTTGGGGGTAATCCGTTATGCGGCAATTGATAAATGAAATGGTGCTCAGTAAGATATGTGATTGTATTGCCAGGTAACATTGGGTTAAGATTGCCTGAACAATGTAAAGAGATGTCTCAAACTGCAGAATTTCAGAGCTTTTAATATACCAATAATTAATGTAAGACTCCAAAGTGTGAGAGACATTTGTATGCCTGATCTGCCAGATTTATTTGATCACAGAATGCTGTTGTCCCTAGAAAACTGTTTAACCATTTGTGGCTCACAACTTGGTTGTAGTAGTGACTATATATGCTGATGTAGTTGAATTCCAAAGGCCCTGTCAGTTCATGCATTATAGAAATCTGCAAATGGAACAAAGAGTGTTTTGGTCACTATTTCTTCTTGATTATCTTGACAACAAAAACTCATCCCATAGTCGGCTGCTACCAAACTTCATTATTCACTTCCGCTGAGACTGTTTTTTAATCAATTAACAGAGGAAAGCAGTATTGGAATTATTAATGAGCAATTAAATAGAGATTAAGGAGCTATTAACCTGCAGCTTGGTGGTGGAGACTTGCCTGTCAAATGGCGTGGGAACTTGATGGATGTAGACCCGTGAGAGGCTGTCACAATGATGAAACAAGCAAAGAGCAGGCTAATAGATTTATCTATTTCATCTTGGCAGATTGTAATAGGATATGGAATTGTCCTGCTGATCCAGGGATCTAGAGAAATCTCATTAAAAAAAATGTGATTAAAACAAGCAGAATTGTCTATTTGTACTATATGTACTCCACAGTCCTGCAGGATAGTCACATGATCAAAGTGTGTGTGTGTGTGTGTTTGATGTTTGTGTGTGTCTGTGTGAGAGTGGGCACGGATGAGTGTGTTTGCAAGTATTGTTTTTTATATCTATTAAATGTGGCCACATGGTATTTATGTTTATCAGAGTACTTCTCACCTGACCTTGCATATTTGTGTGAATGCCTGTAAATACATCTTTGTGTTTTCATGTTATTTTGTGTGTGGAGGCAAATGTACAGGCACGTACATGCAACTGGGACAATATGCCATTGTTATGAGCTATGGTTCTCTTTGTGCCTAGAGGACAAAATACAGGGTGACAGAAATAAGTCATAGCCAGAGGGAATGGAAGGTGGCCATTAGGGCACAGTAGTTTTGTAGGCCAGTACACCTGCTTAAGTTGTTCCATTCAGGGGAAGCTATGCCTCATCTGGGGGCAAGTGAACTGTTTCTCTGTCATGGTGAATTCATCCTCCTTCATGGTGGGGGAAATCAGGAAGACAGTAAAGGGAGATGAATCAATAAGAAAATGCAAGCCTGAGAATCACCAGCAAATCCAATCAGCCACTGCCTTCCTGGCTATGACTGGCCCAATGTCTAATTGAGATAAAATGTTAAAGATTATAATAAATAAAGCTTTTACGTAACTTAAATAAGAAGAGAAAATGCTTTGTTGTTCTCCCTACTTAATTAACATTTGTCCCAGGTAAACTATTATCCTTTTGTTTTTTGATAATCCAATTCAAACTGCTTTGGATTCTTGTCATTCAGTAATTTCTAAACTCTTGAATGCATAATGTGACTTGAAGGTCCTCACTGTTAAGTTACTTTGCAGTGTTTATAGAGTAGTGTCAAATACTACGTACACATTTTACATTAATTGTCTTATTTAATCCTCCTAACAGCGTGAATTGAGTAGTGTTATGACTATTGCACAGAGGAGGCAAGTGGGGCATGGAGAAGCTCAGGACTTGGACTATGGTCACACATCTATGCAGATTTTAGACTCACAGTGGTAGCAATTAACTACAAACCCATGCTCTCAATAACTTCACTGCACTGGCTGTCTTAGGAGGAGGACTGCCCAAGTCTCCCTCCCATCATCGCTTGGCATCTGCTTGTAGTCAAAATGTGGGCATTGAAAGGCTTCATTTTGACTCCCTGAGGCTCATGAAAAATCTTCTAGCTATACCTCCTCACCCCGTTTCTCAAGAACTTTTTGAGAAAAACTATGGGTACATAATACAACCAGAAGAGAGTGGAGTGGGGATCTTTCTGGTTTGAGTGGTTCATTCCATTCTGCTTCAAGCCCAACTTCCAGAGAAGCAGCGGGTGACACCCTGCTCCAGGAGTAATGTCTGGGAGGGTCAGGGAAAGAGTGGCTGGGAGCAGGTGATGGGTCTTTGTGACCCCAAGCAACAGTGTGTTGAGTTCCTGGCAGCTAGGAGAGGTCATGATGATGACAATGACACCATCTTAACCAAAGATAAAATGATACTTATTTCTTACAGATCAGTAATGTCCATGATTTTCCATGGGGCAAAAATCTACTACTGAGATCTGAGCAATTTGGAGCAAAAACCACCGGGTTTAATCTAAGAGCCTTAAGCAAGTTTGTTAAACATTCAAGTACTAAATAGCCTAGGATGGCTCCAAAGCACCAGGTAGGTATAAAAAATTCATTTCTGCAGAAAGTTTGGAATCAGCCCTAGATCGTGCTCTTTTCTTTGATGACAGAATGTGATGAGGTCATAAAATTAGCATAAGCTTCTAGTTCTGACTTCCCAGATGGCCCTCATAAGAAACTGACTACTTGTAATCAGATGAGAAAAGGATCTTGTTGGTTAACTTTAAAGAGAGAAAAAAAGGTGCCAACATGTATCAAACACCTATTTCATGCCAATTACTGTGATAAGATCGTCACACACTTTATCTTATTTGATGCTCAAACAGCCCTAGGTGGTAAACATAATCATCTCTATTTTACAATGAAAGGCTAGAGGCATTAATAAAACTTCCCAAGGTGTTACTGTTGGTATAAGGAAAAACTTGACACCAACAACAGTATATTATTTTTTTCCACTATGCATCTGCCTAATTCAGGTCATGATGTTATTATTCAAATAATTAGTTTAAAATTAAAAAAAAATCTGTCCCAAACACATGTATGCATACTACTTTCCTACCAAGGCAGGGCTTTGAAATGACTGGAAGATAAAAAGGTACACTTCAGAACATGCAGTTAGTCAAACAGACAGATTCCAGCAGGGTAGGAATTTTTTAGGGGAAAGTGAAATGTACATAAACAGAACTAGGCTTCAGAAAACCCTTCTGTGAGGGGCCTTATCTTTCTATCAATAAGATAGAACAATCTTATCTATCAATAAGATAGAACTTGTGACAGTCTTTTGCTTTTGACTTCATAAGACCAAGTGGGAGCCAGGAAAGAGCTCTGAAGAAAGATCTGTGCAGCAAGCCTCTGAAGCCTGCCGTCGAGCGTAGCTCTTGGACCAAGAGAATAGCTACTCTGTTTAGTCTGCACAAGGGCCAATCAAGTCACCAGAGTAGGGGCCATGGGAGCTAGATCACATGCTAGAAACCAAGACTATGTCTCCGGCATTGCCCTGTACACATATTCTTCATACTATCCTTCTCCTGTATAGGATGTGTCAGAACAGAAATCAAGTATTCAGATATCTGGATTCTGGCATTATGTCTCATCAAGTATTTATAATCCTGCTTCACATGTGAGGAAATTGAGAGTTCTGAGAGATAAGTAGCCTGAAACCAGTAAGCAAACAATTGTACCCCCAGCCCCTGGCTTCAGCCCAGAAAGTTGTTTGAGAAGGACCTGGCAGTAGATTCTTATTGCAATCCCTAGATATGAACTGAGACATTGTGTGCAGGGCTGACACGTGATTTGCATTGTGCAGGATACAACATAAGCATTGCCCCTGCCCTCCAGGAGCTCCTGTTCTAGTGGGAAAGACAGAGCAAAAAGCCAACAGAGGGAAGGGGTATAATAAAATTTTATTGCAGAGATTTATAAGCATGAAAGACAGTAAGTTTATATTCTCCTGGGAGGCATAAAAGAAAGTTTTATGGTGAAAGCTGGTCTCTGAAGGAAGGGCAATTTCAAGAAATGGCAATATATAGGACCTTTCAAGCAGTGAGAACATATAAACAACAAGGAGGGAGGGCGGAGTGGGGGGCGTGCCGTGAAACCTGAAGGACACATTGAGAGACAAGTGAGTATTTGGGAGTCACTGCAGCAGAGGAGAAAGACAGACTGGAGAAGAGCTGAAGCTAGAAAAATGGATTTGAATTTGAAAGCAATATTAACTGATAATAGAGAGGCCTACATTCCAAGATACTCTTGGAGTGTATTCTTTGCTTGAGACTGGATTCTTTGCATACTAGGGAGCCCCAGAAGATCTCTGAAAAGAAGCTTCAGGAGCCTTCTCTGCTGTCCACCTTTGTCTCTATTTGAGAATCAAAGTGGGCAGAGAACTAGAGCTTGAGAGTTCAGGCAGAAGTGTGTTCACTTATTTGAGGATGAGCATGATGGGTCTGTAAGTTAACAAATTGCTCTCTGTCTCAATTTCTTTATCTATAAAACAGGGACAAATTGTAACTCCTTCAGAGCACCGTTGGGAAGATTAAATGATATCAAGTCTGTGAAACTGCTGATCGTAATGTCTGAGCATTATGGCTCTTCAACACTGCTATCCTCAGATAATGAGGAATAGAATGAAGAGTGGCACTGTTTGGGGATAGAATCAGGTTTGGGTGAGGGTAGAAAATATGGTGACCCCTTTTCTCTCCCTAGGGTTCATCTCCTTGCAAAAGACTTAGCTTCCAGGCTCTGGGCCATGAACCATTTTCAAGATTCTGTTGTCCAAGGTGGAGAGTAGCACATGACTGTTCAGTGGCCTGCCCAGCCCTGGAAAGACGATGATGACATCTTTCCCAACAGATTTTCACCCTTCCCTGTGTTCTGGAGTGAAAAAAAAATTGCAAGAAGTGAGAATGGGAGCCATGTTCCCAAACATACATGTCAATAATTCAGGCTTTGTCAGATGCCTTTCCTATGTGCTCCTACAAGATCCTGTACTTGCCTCATCAGAAGACTTGTGTTGCTCAGTAGATTCTTATAATGCAAATTCCTGTGACACTATGATCTCCATGAGGGCAAGGAATATGTTGTTTTCTGTGTTGCATCACCTAAGAGAGAACCTGGCACATAGGAGGGGGTGGATGAGCCCTTGCAGAAATGAACGCATGACTGAACCAAAAGCAAAGGATCCAAGGTATTTCACAGGCAGGGGACCCAAGAACAGATGGAGGGCAGGCACAATGTCTAATATATTCCCTTGAGGTTAGGGTTTAGAGAAGACATGTTTTCTTAATGTTTTCTGCACTAGGAAAGTCTGAGGCCTCCTTCTTGTCCTGCTACGATGCTTTGAGAGTGATATGGTTTGGATGTTTTGTCCCCTTCAAATCTCAAGTTGAAATATGGCCTCCACTGTTGGAAGTAGGCCCAGTGGGAAGTGTTTGGGTCATGAAGGCGGATCCCTCATGAATGTCTTGGTGCTGTTCTGGAGGTAACAAGAATGAAGTTCTCACTCTATGAGTTCACATGAGACCTGGTTGTTTAAAAGAGTCTGGCATCACCTCCTCTCCCTCTCTTTTGCTCCCTCTCATTCCACGTGACATGCTGGCTCCCCTTCACCTTCTTCCATGACTGTAAGCTTCCTGGGGCCCTCACCAGAAGCAGATGCCAGCACTATGCTTCACGTACAGCCTGCAGAACTGTGAGCCAAATAAACCTCTTTTTTAAATAAACTACTCAGTCTCAAAGCATTCCTTTATAGCAATGCAAATGGACAAAACTAGAGGGCAACACTGATCTTGTCCCCATAACTGCAGCTCCAGCTCCGACTCCACTTCTCAATCTGTGTGACCACCACAAGATATCTTAACCTCAGTCTCACTTCTGAAAAAATGCAGCTGTGTTCTTGCACCTGGTCCTATGGCCCTTGTGGAGAAAGATTATGTCCTAGTGTGCTGGATGAAGGCAGGGACAGACAATAAATCTGACTGAGAGGAAAGCACACATTGTATTCTTTCTCCATCTGCCTGAGTTAATTTTTAATGAGGCAAACAATGAATGTTTGAGCTTCCTTCCTAAAATATTTTGACTAGAAATTTCATGAGTGGGAAGGTTTTAACCAGGCTGTCTCCAAAATAGTGAGTAAGAAAAACAAACTGAAACATGCTAATTTCCAAGAAAATTAAATTACGACATAGCTGACATCAAGCAATTTGGTAAAATATTAAAATGTGAGAAATGAAGAAGAAACAGCTTCCAAGACTTGCCCTGCGGGGATCCTACCTTACCACCTAGGATTTGGCCTCATTTGACAATCTGCAGTATTATTGTATCATGCAGCATAAACACTGTTTCAGCAACATCTTTTCAAAATGAGGCCAAGCAGCCCCAAAGCCAAAAGGCCCTGGACACAATGGTTCTCAAGCCTACTTCCTCCCTCACCCAGCTGACTTTCTCTGAATTTCTTTATCCCACAATCTCCTCATATCCATCAAGTCCTCTGTCTCTTTCCCCATGTTTATTTCAGTCTTTTCCTTTTGCCTCATTGCACAAGGTACAAGACATAAATTTTTATTTACCCCAAGCCTGGAGCTCAGAGACTCTGACGACCCCTCTGGGTTCTGACTGCTGAAGGGAACAGGCTGTTTTTGATGTTTGTGTCTTCTCTCTTCAAGCTTGAAAGGCCATGCACACTTTTGCAGAGTGCTGCATGTGGCTAAATGCATTCCAAGCTCTTCCTAAGTAAAGCAAGATACTGTCTTTTAAAGTTCTTTTATTCTATATTTGAAGGTTTCAGTATATATGCAAAGAGGTTGATCTTGCAATTAACCTTCTGTCCCAAACTTGTCTATGAGAATTGAAGTATTAAAATCAAACTCTTGGGACAGTATATATGGTTACACTGCACAGTTGTAAGTTCCCCCAGTCCCCAAGAAACCTTAGGTGTTTCCATGAACCTCTGGGAGCCCTGACACCTGGAGGACAAGCTCAGGTCAGTATACTGAAAAACAACAGATGTGTGGCCCAGTCACCCCTGTCATTCTTCAAAATTGCCGGCTAATGCCAGAAAGGAGAGCAAAGCTACCCAAGACCAGCCAGCCCTCTACCACCTACCAGCTGACAAAAACACCTAAGCAAACCCAGAAGGCGTCAGTGGTGTCCGGCGCAAATCAACAGAACTGCCTGTTCATAAATTTGTGATCCGTAATAAACACCTGCTGTTTTAGACCATTAAGTGCTGGGGTAGTTTATCACGCAGCAACAGATAACCAGTAGGCTAAAATATGCAGCTATCTTTTCTGTTATTTTCTCTTGCTTCTTTGTCTGCCTGAAACATTGTTTTTTAAATCCGTGAATGTCTCTACTTCAGCCCAGTAGAGTCTGAGAAAGTGGTTCAGCAAGTTCAGAGGGAATAGCTTTGCAGCACAGATGGTAGCTTCACACAGATTTTTTTTTTTTTTTTTGGTCACTTTTTGTGCCTCCACCTACTTGTTGAAATTGTCATAAAGACCCACAATCCCATTCTCAATTTTCCGGATAAACATGCAATCATTTCTACTGGTCTTTTTCCATCTATTATCGTAACTTCAGGAAATGTAGTAGTTAGGAAGAATAATGAGAAAGACTTCTTGGAAGATGTAAAAAAGGTGCCTACATTCTGAGAATTGGCTAGATTTAGTTAGGTATTGAGAAGAAATTTCCTGTCCAGGGAAGGGTTAATCAAGCAAGAGAAGGCATTGATTGATTTATCCAGCAAATATAATTGAGCAGTTGCCTTAGGTCCAGGTCCACTCTAGAAAATGCAGGTAAATGAGAAAACAAAACAGATAAAGTTCCTGCAGAGGGAACAGGAAATGAGTGAAAAGGTAAGTGAAATAGTGTCAGATGATGAACAGAGCTATGGGGAAAAATTAAATAAGGATTTCTTGGAGTTGCGGAGTAGGTTATAATTTTAAGTAGTGGAGTCAGAGCAGTTGACATTTTATCTGCGTTCTAAAGGATGTGATATCATAAGTCTTGCAAATGTACATGGAAATAGGCTTCCAGGTAGAGGGGACAGCAAGTACTCAGCATCCTTGGAATGAACATGTCTGAGGTTTCCAGGGAAAAGTGAGGAGGCAGTATAGCTGGAATGAGTTGATGGTGGAGGGGTCATTAGGAGAAGACATCAGAGAAGAAATGAAAGGGGGCTTTGAACAAATGATAGCATGATCTGGGCTACATTCCAGAAGAATGAACTGGCTGCTGTGTTGACTATAGACTATCGGGGAGCAATGATGGAAGTGGGGAACCTATCAGGAGATCATTAATATGATCTGACAGCGTATAGTGGCTTGTGCTGTCACGGTGGCTTTGGAGGTGGTTTGGAGTACAGCACTTGGAACTAAGGGAAATTTTGGAGGTAATACTGAAAGAGTTTGCCAATTGATTGGATGTGCTTTGTGAGATAAAGAGAGGAATGAGGATGAATCTATTGTTTCTTAACTTGCCACTTATAAGGAGGGACAATCGGGTTTCGGAGAGATGAGTAGTTTGGTTGGGACAGGAAAGCACAATTCCAGTGATGTCGTCTGGATATCACTGTTTAGTCAATTTGCTTTGAAAAGATGCAATAGGCATATAGGCCCCTCATATAGGCATGAGAGTGGTGGGACATAAGGTGAGGGGGTTTGGGGAAAGATAATGAAAGTTTCTCAGTGTTTTAAATACTAAAGAGAAGAGTTTGAACACTTATCAGACTGTGGAGATGGAGTCATAGAGGGCAAGTAAAATTCTTAGAAACTGGTTGTCCACTAGTGGCCCTTGGAGTGTGGTTATGAAGGGAGAAGTTTCCATAAATCAGGGGCTACCCATGCAGAGGTTGACAACAGTTAGGCAGGGAATGTAAATGAGTGAAGCAGAATATAAGAAAAGCAAAAGCAAAAGCACTCTGGTAAATACAACTGACAGTCTCAGTGGCAGGGGAAGAATTTAGGGAGTGATGGGGCTGTGCCCAAAGGAAGTCCATGTCCCATCCATAAGGGAATTTGCTACTTACCTCCCAGGTAATGCAGTCACGTGTAAAGGCAGTCTCTGCATTATCATCAGATTTTTTAAAACAGAAGCTAGAAATCTAGATTTTTATATGAATAATGTAGATTTGTATACATTGCAAGTAATTTATTTACTCACATACTTTCTCTCTTTCTCTCTCTCTCTCTTTTTCTCTCTCTCTCTCTGCCACATAAAATGCAACTCTAGTAAGCTGAGGTCCATGGCCTATT